>NW_011332696.1:300000-541038 GCF_000001405.40 Homo sapiens | reverse complement strand
CTGTCTTGCTTTACGTCTGCCCCACCTAACCATTCTCTGTATGGAAAAGTGTGAATCTGATCTTTCTTGTTTAAAAATTTTTCAATGGCTCCTCCATTGCTTGCCTTGAAAAAAGTCCAAATCCTTTGATATTTTAGACAGGGTTTCACTGTGTTGCCCAGCCTGGAGTGCAGTGGCACAATCACAGCTCACTGCAGCCTTGACTTCCTGGGCTCAAGTGATCCTCCTGCCTCAGTCTCTGAGTAGCTGGGACTACAAGCATGTGCCTCCCCAACTGGCTAATTTTTTTTTGTTTTGTTTGTTTGTTTTTTGAGACAGAGTTTCACTTTTGTTGCCCAGGCTGGAGTGCAATGGTACGATCTCGGCTCACTGAACCTCTGCCTCCCGAGTTCAAGCAATTCTCCTGCCTCAGTCTCCCGAGTAGCTGGGATTACAGGCATGCGCCACCATGCCTGGTTAATTTTTTGTATTTTTTTAGTGGATACAGGGTTTCTCCCAGGCTGATCTCAAACCCCCAACCTCAGGTGATCTACCCTCCTCGGCCTCCCAAAGTGCTGGGATTACCTTACAGGTGTGAACCACCATGCCCAGCCACACCTGGCTAATTTTTTTAAAGTTTTTTTGTAGAGACGAGGCCTGGCTACGTTGCCCAGGCTGTTCTCGAACTCCTGAGCCCAAGTGATCTGCCTGCCTTAGCCTCCCAAAGTGCTGGGATTACAGGTGTGAGCCACTGTGTCCCACTGGCAAGTTAACTGTAAACTGAGAAGATTAATAGTTATGAGAATTAAATGAGGTAATATTCAATAAATGCTAGCTATTATTTATTATGATTAATATCCTCAGTCATGTCTTTGAAAATAGTACTATCATTTCCTTAAGATAAATTCTTTTTTTTTTTTTTTGAGACAGAGTCTAGCTCTAGCTCTGTCACCCAGGCTGTAGTGCAGGGGAGCCATCTTGGTTCACTGGGCTCACTGCAACCTCTGCCTCCCGGGTTCAAGCAATTCTCCTGCCTCAGCCTCCCGAGTAGCTGGGATTATAGGCATCTGCCACCACTCCCGGCTAATTTTTGTATTTTTAGTAGAGAGAGGGTTTCACCATGTTGGCCAGGCTGGTCTCGATCTCCTGACCTCGTGATCCACCTGCCTTGGCCTCCCAAAGTGCTGGGATTACAAGTGTGAGCCACCGCACCCGGCCAAGATAAATTCGTAAAGTAGAATTGTTGGGTATGCATTTTTAAAGACTTTCATAAGCATATTGCCAAACTGCCCTCCAGAAGAGTTATACCTGTTTATATTCTCACCAGTGCTAATGAGAAAGTCTGTTTCTCCATATTGTTAACTCAACTGTGGGATTACCGGTTTTTAAAATAACTGCCAAATTGATAAGTGAAAAATTGTCTAGTTTTTATAACTTATTGAGTCTGTTTAACAAATCTGCTGCAGAAAGATCAGATATAGACTGATAATATAGAGTGTTGGCCGGGCTGGTCTCGAACCCCTGACCTCAGGTGTCAGACTGGCCAAAATGGTGAAACCCCGTCTCTACTAAAAATACAAAAATTACCCAGGTGTGGTGGTGCGTGCCTGTAATCCCAGCTACTCAGGAGGCTGAGGCAGGAGAATCGCTTGAACCTGTGAGACGGAGGTTTCAGTGAGCTGAGATCGCGCCACTGCACTCCAGCCTGGGTGACAGAGCGAGACTGTCTCAAAAAAAAAAAAAAAAAAAAAGTGTTACTGCTATTTACTTTGTTTTGATTGTACATCTTAACATTCATGTTTTTCATCTCCTTCAGGACTGAGAACTTACACATTTTTGAACTCCTTTACTTCCCTCTTTCCTTCCAGTTCCTTAGGAATGAGCATGCACTTGTGTAATTGAGTTGAATAAAATTTAACACATATTTCCTATTAAACTTTAAAGCTCAATAGTCCAGTTTCTTTGTATACCTTTCCATGGGGAGCACAGAGTGCTGTGCTGAGTGTTGGTGACCTGTTTGGAATTCCTTTTTAGTCCCTAACTAGCTATACAACCTTGGGCAAGTCGTTTAACCTCTTTGGACCTTCATTTTCTTACATGTAATGTGAGATGGTACCAGGTAATTTCCTAGGTATCTTCTAGTTCTCACATCACGCAGGTTAACATTTTTCTTCCAAGAAGTTCCTTCCTACTTTGCTGTAAATATTGCCCTCCTCCAACATAGTGTCATCTCTGAGGCAGAACTTGCTTCTTTCTAGAACTGTAATTTGTTCAGTGTCATGAACCCTAAGATAACAGTAGCAGCTACTATCCCAGAAGTATAGCCAAGACTTTAATGTGAAGTAGGTCTTATTCACTTTTTTTGTGTGTGTGATAAAATCCTTTGAAAGTTTGTTGCAGCTGTGCATGGTGGTTCATGCCTGTAACCCCAGCACTTTGGGAGACTGAAGCAGGAGGATGGTTGAACCCAGGAGTTCAAAACCAGCCTGGGCAACAAAGCAAGACCCCATCTCTACAGAAAAAAAGTTTTATTTATTTATTTTTTATTTTTTTGAGACAGGGTCTCGCTCTGTCGCCCAGACTGGAGTGCAGTGGTGCGATCTCAGCTCACTGCAAGCTCCCGGGTTTACGCCATCCTCCTGCCTCAGCCTCCCGAGTAGCTGAGACTACAGGCGCCCGCCACCACACCCGGCTAATTTTTTGTATTTTTAGTAGAGACGGGGTTTCACCGTGTTAGCCAGGATGGTCTTGATCTCCTGACCTCATGATCCGCCCGCCTTGTCCTCCCAAAGCGCTGGGATTACAGGCATGAGCTACCGCACCCGGCCAAAAGTTTTAAAAATTAGCCAGGCATAGTGGTTTGCACCTGTAGTCCTAGTTACTTGGGAGGCTGAGGCAGGAGGATTACTTGAGCCCTGGAGGTTGAGACTGCAGTGAGCCATGATTATGTACTCAAGCCTCGGCAGTAGGAGACCTCATCTCATTAAAAAGGAAAAGAAAAGAAAATCTGTTGAAAGCTAGGGACCCACTCACAGAAAAACATGTATAAGCATATATACACAAAATTTTAGGGGGCTCTTAGACCCTCTGGAGCCCATCTATATACTCTCTAGGAATCCACAAATCCTAGGCTAAGAACATTTGACTTAGGAACATTCAAAGGATCCTTGGAGATTAACAAAATTGTCAAAAACTCTCTCTTCCTATTGGAAAAGGGAGCTGTTATATTACCTAAAAAATAGAGAATATTAAAACTGTTTTTGCTGCTGCAGCTGAAGCCATGCATATGCTCAGGCTTCAGAGGAAGTTTTCCTCTAATGTCTTTTGCTGTGGCAAAAAGAAGGTCTGGTTGGCTCCCAGAGACCAATGTTAACTCCCATCAGCAAATCCAGAAGCTGATCAAACATGGGCTGATCATCCGCAAGCCTGTGCCTGTCCATTCCCAGGCTCCTTGATGCCAGAAAACCTTGGACCATCGGAAGGGCAGGCACCTGGGCATAGGTAAGCAAGAAGGTACAGCCAATGCCCAAAGGCCAGGGAAGGTAACCTGGATAAGGAGAATGAGGATTCTGTGCCAGCTTCTTAGAAGATACTGTGAATCTAAGAAGACTGATTGCCACATGTATTACACTCTGTACCAGAAGGTGAAAGGGATTGTGTTCAAAAACAAGCGTATTCTCATGGAATTGTCCGCAAGCTGAAGGTAGACAAGTCCCGCAAGAAGCTCCTGGTGGACCAGGCTGAGGCCCACTGGCCTAAGACTAAGGAAGTGTGCAAACTTCATGACGAGTGCCTCCAGGCCAAGAAGGAGGAGATCATCAAGATGTTGTCCAAGGAGGAAGAGACCGAGAGATAAAGCTCCTCCTTTCTTGTCTATACATAGTGGCCTCAGTAATTACATAGACCATTCAAACAAAACAGGCTTTTATCTGCTTGAAAAAAAACCCAACTCTCTAAAACGCAACCTTTTATGCTTACTTAATTGCAAATGTCCTCTTCATAAATCAGATCATGTACTAACTGCTTAAATCTTTCAGAATAGAATCTGAACTCCATACACTATAAGGTACTACATAATCTGGCTCCTGCCCACCCTTGTTTTATACTTTTGTGCCCCACTGGCTTCCTTTGGCTCTGGGAACACACCAACTCTCTACAAGTCACTCTGTTTCTGCTGAACGGTCTTAGAGTGACCTGTTTTCTCTACCCTGACCACTTCCCCTGTTGCCATCCTTAAGGTCTCAGTTCAAATGTCCCCTCTTCATTTGAACTTCCCCCACCACCTTCACCCCTACCCCAAGTCACTCACTATCACCTCACCCAGTTTTTTTTCCCTGTGTAGTCCATCTTGTCACAGTCCAGGCCGTGGTTTTTGTTTATTGGCTTATTGTCTTCTCTCTCCACTTGAATGTTAGTTTCATGAGAGATAGGTAATCTTATTTATAACCATATTCCCAGAGCTAGGTGCAGTGCCTGGCACATAAGGGTAGTAGGCACTCAATCACTGTTTGTCAATGAATAAACTTCAGCCAGGGATGGATTAAGTAAGACCTTAAGAGGGTCTAAACACTAAGGATTATGGTGCTTCTCCCCCATATTTAATTCTAACCAGCAATTTTGGTGCTCCTTCCCCATATTTAACTCTAACTAAAAAACAGTACTAAACCACACACTTACATGTACTGAAGCAAAAATAGCTTCTTTCTAGATTATCTGATTGTAAACCTTGGACTCCCTGCCTTGCTGGTGCCCTAAGTGTATGTGCTCTTCCTCTGTCTTGGGGGAGTCTAGCACTCACTCAGTCCTCTAGATGTGTTGGACACTGTTTTAGTTTAAGATTGCTTATGACTACAAAAAACCTTGCTGGGATATTGATGAAAATTACGTTAACTCTATAGATCAATTTGGGAAGAAATGACATGTTTATTGATTCTTCCAATCCATGAATATAGTATGCCATTCCAATTATTTGTCTTCTTTAATTTCTTTCATCAGCATTTTATAATTTTCATCACACAGATGTTGTACATGTTTTGTTAGATTTATATGTAAATATTTCACGTTCTTTGGAGCAATTGTAAAATGGTTCTGTTTTTAATTTCTGTTTCCACATTTTTTATTATTATTTTTTATTTTTTATTATTTTTTTTTTATTGATCATTCTTGGGTGTTTCTCGCAGAGGGGGATTTGGCAGGGTCACAGGACAATAGTGGAGGGAAGGTCAGCAGATAAACAAGTGAACAAAGGTCTCTGGTTTTCCTAGGCAGAGGACCCCGCGGCCTTCCGCAGTGTCTGTGTCACTGGGTACTTGAGATTAAGGAGTGGTGATGACTCTTAACGAGCATGCTGCCTTCAAGCATCTGTTTAACAAAGCACATCTTGCACCGCCCTTAATCCATTTAACCCTGAGTGGACACAGCACATGTTTCAGAGAGCACAGGGTTGGGGGTAAGGTCACAGATCAACAGGATCCCAAGGCAGAAGAATTTTTCTTAGTACAGAACAAAATGAAAAGTCTCCCATGTCTACTTCTTTCTACACAGACACGGCAACCATCTGATTTCTCAATCTTTTCCCCACCTTCCCCCCCTTTCCATTCCACAAAACCGCCATTGTCATCATGGCCCGTTCTCAATGAGCTGTTGGGTACACCTCCCAGACGGGGTGGTGGCCAGGCAGAGGGGCTCCTCACTTCCCAGTAGGGGCGGCCGGGCAGAGGCGCCCCTCACCTCCCGGACGGGGCGGCTGGCCAGGCGTGGGGCTGACCCCCCCACCTCCCTCCCAGACAGGGCGGCTGGCCTGGCGGGGGCTGAGCCCCACCTCCTTCCCGGACTGGGTGGCTGCCGGGCGGAGACGCTCCTCACTTCCCAGACGGGGTGGCTGCCGGGCGGAGGGGCTCCTCACTTCGCAGACGGGGCGGCTGCCGGGCGGAGGGTCTCCTCCCTTCTCAGACGGGGTGGCTGGGCAGAGACGCTCCTCACCTCCCAGACGGGGCGGCGGGGCAGAGGCGCTCCCCACATCTCAGACGATGGGCGGCCGGGCAGAGACGCTCCTCACTTCCTAGATGGGATGGCAGCCGGGAAGAGGCGCTCCTCACTTCCTAGATGGGATGGCGGCCGGGCAGAGACGCTCCTCACTTCCAGATGGGGCAGCCAGGCAGAGGGGCTCCTCACGTCCCAGACGATGGGCAGCCAGGCAGAGACGCTCCTCACTTCCCAGATGGGGTGGCGGCCGGGCAGAGGCTGCACTCTCAGCACTTTGGGAGGCCAAGGCAGGCGGCTGGGAGGTGGAGGTTGTAGCGAGCCGAGATCACGCCACTGCACTCCAGCCTGGGCACCATTGAGCACTGAGTGAACCAGACTCAGTCTGCAATCCCGGCACCTCAGGAGGCCGAGGCTGGCGGATCACTCACGGTTAGGAGCTGGAGACCAGCCCGGCCAACACAGCGAAACCCCGTCTCCACCAAAAAAATACGAAAACCAGTCAGGCGTGGCGGTGCGTGCCTGCAATCGCAGGCACTCAGCAGGCTAAGGCAGGAGAATCAGGCAGGGAGGTTGCAGTGAGCCGAGATGGCAGCAGTATAGTCCAGCTTCGGCTCGGCATCAGAGGGAGATCGTGGAAAGAGAGGGAGCGGGAGCGGGAGCGGGAGAGGGAGAGGGCTGTTTCCACATATTTATTGTTAGTATGTAGAAAACCTTTCTTAGTAAAAGAAAGAAATGTACTCTTCGGTGAAGTAAACTTGTTTAGTGGTTTCCCCTTCACCTGCTGGGCAGGTAACAATCTATTTATTCTAACATTCAAGTACCTCCACAATGTGCCTCTGTATCTCTTAAATTTAACCTCATACCTAATTGCTAAATACCGATTTCTACTGCTACTGGGTTTACTCTTCTGTCACTTGAATACACCTTACTCATTATTCATTCCACCTCCATGTCTTGGCTCATTGCCATTTGCCCTCTGGAATCTTCCCTCCACTGGCTTCTTCACTGCAAACTAAATCTGAACTGTCCTTCAAGGATAAGGTCAAAACTCTTTATAAGGTGCCTTCCCTGATAATCCCAGCCTACATTGCTCCTTTTCTCCCCTGATGTTTTTTTTTGTTTGTTTGTTTTTTTTTTTTTTTTTGAGATGGAGTCTCACTCTGTTGCCAGGCTGGAGTCTGGAGTGCAGTGGTGCGATCTCGGCTCATTGCAACCTCCACCTCCCGGGTTCAAGTGATTCTTCTGCCTCAGCCTCCTGAGTAGCTGGGACTACAGGCGCCCACCACCACGCCTGGCTAATTTTTGTATTTTTAGTAGAGACGGGGTTTCACCATGTTGGCCAGGATGGTCTCGATCTCTTGACCTCATGATCCACCCGCCTCGGGCCTCCCAAAGTGCTGGGATTATAGGCTTAAGCCACCACGCCCGGCCCCCTGACTCTTTTAACCAATATTGTACATCACTCAATCATTGATTTCGTTTTTAATGAGCTTTAATATACGTCTTGTTTCCAGAAATAGATGAAATACCCTGAGAGACTTCTATGATAGCTATGATGGCACCACATCATACATTACACAAACTTAATTGTGTAACTGAGGAAAGGGGAGAAACGTTTCAAGCCATGTCAGTTAAAGCAAGGTTACTGGAACTTTGGCATGCAAAGGGGATACCATTAATTCTCATGAATCTTTCCTCCAGGCAAGATCCATGCTCTGTACCACTAGTAAAAGGACTATCTTCTTCTTCCTTCCTAAAAATCCCAACACCTCCAACAAAGGTCTACAGTTAGATTTTTAGGGGTTTCCTGGTAGAGCACAAATAATCCCAAGGAAGCTGCAGTAACACCTCCTGGCCACCAGAGGACAGGGAGCAGTGGGAGAGATTTGCTTCCCCTAGCAAAGTCTTCAAGAGGCCAGAGGCACAGGCTCAAAGTTGCTTCTCCATCTGTGGCCTTCAGGCTTTACCTACTACTGCCAGAGGTGCTAGGGTGCCTCCCATCTTCAAATGGGCTTTTTTTTTCCCTCCTATAAAAGATGGGCCAGAAGTTCCCAGGGCCATACCCCGCAACACTAACCTTCAATGATTACCAATCATAAGGAATGCCTTTAGTTGCAGGACTTAAAGGCAGAAAAGTAGTAACAGGGGTGTATTATCTTTCGAACCCACCCAAACCTGCTTATCAGTTCTTTTGCTAGTGGAAAAACGTGCTTTAGGCAGGGTGCACATGGATATCCCACAGCAAACAGTGCCTTTAGGGTCTAGTGTCCCAATCCGGCACATTGTAAATGGAATATTTGAAGAGTTAGATTATTCCTACACATAAATTCTGGCTCATGGAGCAGTCCACTCGCAGGGTGCTTTTCCGTCATTAATCACATCTTTGTTATGTGATATCCACGTGAGTACTTCTCAGTAGAAGCAGCTTCATGCTCAAATGCTCAAAGAACATTGGAATAAAGCTCCGATTGTCCTATTCAGTGATTCCAAGTCCTGGTTTGTCACCACCTCAGGTCTCTCGTTTTCCAAAGTGCATAATGTCATCTCAAAACAGACATTTTAATGAATTCAAATAATAAAATGCACGAGGTATGTGGAGTTAAATCAACAAGGGTTTTGTACCTCTCAAGAGGCGGTTAACCCCTGGTCTTATTTAAAGATGTTTCTGCGCTGCCTCCTGTAGAAAACATTTTTAAAGAAAATGTAGGCTGCTTATCCTTGTATTTGTAAATATAAGCAAAGTAAAGTAATGTAGGAACATTTATGTGGGGGCTTTCAACCATAAACATATAGATAGCTGAATGCCTGACAACAGTAGTGTGATTTTTCTTGAAGTACCTGTAACTTCTCTCCTGAGAGATGGCAGAGCCTTGCCTTTTGCATTCGCCAGACTTTTTACAGAGCGAGTGTAATTCTCTCAAATCAGTGTTTGCGTTTTTTGACGTTGGTGAGGCAGCTGGAAACAGCTCAAGGAGGAGGGAAAGGTTCTGCGTCTGGGTGAGGGAGAAAACCCTCCGATACCTGTTGGGGCGCAGCACTGGAGGCGGACACCCCGGCCCGGGGGTCGGGGCCGCGAGCCCGGGGGTAGGGGGCGGGCGCGCGGGCGCGGGAGGAGGAGGAGGAGGAGGGAGAGGTGGGGGAGGAGGCCGCGGGGCCGCCTCCTCCGGCAGCTCCGGCTCCTCCCAGCGGCGCCCGCGGAACCTGCCTCAGAGTCGCCGGACTCTGGAAGGGAACATGACCTGACCCCTCCCCGAGCGGCCGGAACGAGGCGCGGAGCCGCGCTCCGGGCTCGGGCGGCCGCGGGATGGGCGAGCGCGCGGCCCCGCCCGGCGCCCACCGCCCTGCCCTCGCCTGTCTCCTCCTTTCCCCGGGGCTCCGCTGAGTTCATTCACTGGGATTGGTTTCAAGTGACGCCATCTCTTTATTTTTAAACCAATGACCTCATCCGCGCTTGAAGTTTCCTGACCAGCGACTCTTTCTCTTTCCCCCAACCCCCCACCCCACCCCCCCGCCTTTCCCCCTCTTTCTATGTATCAGTGTTTGGGGGGCTTTAATCAGTTTTTAAACGATTATTACCACCTCTCTCTCCCCCCCAACCCCCACTTTCACAACGCGGCCCCCCACCTTTACCTCCCTAAGTTCTTCATCTCTTTCGACATTTTTTTTGAAGGCTGATGGGGGGGAGGGTGGAAGAGAAAGAGTGAAGAAAAGTTGCGAGCGTCTCCTCTCTTCCTAAGCCTCCCGCCCCAACCCACCCCTCAGAGAAGGAGAAGATAATATACTGAAAAGAAGAGGAGGAGGAGAGCGACGGGACGGGACGCGAGCGGGAGCGCAGCCGCCCTCTCGGCTCCGCGGCGGCGCCTCGCAAGTCCGGGAGGCGAGGGGGGCCCGAGGGGAGACGCCGTGACAACTTTCGTTTCCCTCTGAGGGAATTGGGAGGTCGGCGGCCCCAAAAGTAAGTGGCCTTGGCGGGCCGCGCGGGGTGTGCGGGCGGGAGGGTGCGGGGCCCGGGGCGCCCTCCCGCCCGGCCGCATGGACGCTCCGCAGCGCGCCCCGACTCCCGGTGCCGGGCGCCGCGCTCCAGCCCCGCCGTCTCTGCCTTCCCGGGCGTACCGGCCACCCTTTCGGGAGGCGGCGTGGGGGCGACCGCGGCCGGGGGCCGCAGGAGCGTTTGAAGCGGGGGTGTAGGCCTGGCCGGAGGCTGGCCGGAGCGGGAAGGGGGCGTGCGGCCGGGCGCGGGGTCGCAGTGGGTGCGCTCCCGGCCGCTGCGCGGCGCTTGGACCGGGCCCCGCCGAGAGGAGCGGCCGCCGCGGGACGCGGCACCTTTGCGGGCGAAGCTGCTCACTTCCAGGCGCGACTGTTACACAACACGCCTGCCAAGTGGGGCCCTGGCCTGACTGTTCCCATTATCCCCAGTTCGCCTTTGGTGTAAGCAGCGAGGCCACCTGGGTGGTGACGGTGCTGCTTTCTTCAACCAACCAACCGAAAAAGCCCTCAATTTTCGGACAGGGGCTCGGGTCTTGGCGTTGGGGGGCCCGACGCCTAGTGACTTCTTTATTTACACTAGCTGCAAAACGTGAGAAATAAAAAAGCCCAGGGTCTGTGTATCACGTGTAGTTTCATGTAATGAAACACCACAGAGGGAAATATTTTCAGATGCTGGGTTTATTTCCTAAAGAATACCAATAATGAACCAGAGAAAAGGCAAGTAGATCTGAAAATGAATGGATACTGCAAAATCCTAAAGAAGTTTAGGAAACATCAACTGCAAGGATTCTTGGCGTTTTGAAGTCGTGGGTGTCTCAGATTGGAGAAAGCACACCTCTAACCAGCCTGTGATGAATAAGCTGGGGAGGAAAAAAACCTGTTGCATAATCTCATTTGCCGTGGGGTTTGCTGTGCCATCCCCTTGAACCAAAGGGAAGTGAGTTAAGATGCAGGGTTTTAAAACTCTCTGAAGTTTTTATTTACCCAGCGCTCTGGCTCCCACTTCTGTTTTAAAAGATTATAAGTAAATACTCTGCTCTTTCAAGTGAACCAAACCTATCAAACCTGTTTAGAAAATAAACCAGGTATGTTTCTTTCTCTTCTTTCTTTTCCGCCTCTGTGTGTGTGTGTGTGTGTGAAATTTACCATCCATGCAAAAGTTTAGGACTAGTGTTTGGGGAACTGAGACTGTCAGAAAAATGCCTCTTTATGCCACTCACCTTATGGGGCTGATGGAGAGTCCACGTAAAGGATAACCGTTTCCTCAAAGGATTTATGCTGTTTCACCTCCATCAAGAAAAGGGCTTTTTAAAGTTAAGGTAAAATTTTAAAAGAAAAGATTTCGTACCAATTGAATTAATTACTCTTTAATACCTACTTTTCCTTGAGTATCACATATATTGGTGGATACCACTTGGGAGGCTCGTGGAGTCTATTTGGTGAAGGCAGCAGCTTGGAGAAGTAAAATGAAAAGCAGAATGTATGGCTCTGTGTAGGGATTTTAGTAAAAATGTGAGTAGGCACGGTGAAAGGTTTTTGTTTTTTAAAATTGTGGAATTTACTGAGTTTGAAGACAATGTGGAAAGTTGCATTAAAATTTTTTTTAATTTGGCTAACATTTACAGTCTTATGTAAAAATATAGGCTAAATAACACCAGCCCAAGAGTTGGATTTTAGGTAAAATAATTTTTGCACTTATCAAAATTCTACATGGGGGAAAAATTAGAAATGAATTTATTTTGAATTTTGTTAGTGTGAATAGTGTTTTGAAAATAACTCGGTTCAAGTACTATAAATGTACATTCAGATAAAAAATGTAAACTGTGGTAATTAATTTTTTTTTTCTTTTTTAGTATTAACCTCTGCTATATCAGCAACTCAAAGTACAATATCTCATTTGGCTTGATTATAGTGCCAAATGATCATAGTGCATGATTATGGAGGGGGCTAGGAACAGAACTGCAGAATTATCCAGTTTTGCTCCTTTTTCAATTTAGAATGCCCTATCCTTTCGTTCAGTTTGGTGATTGTAAGTGTGTACCTATAAAATAAAAATAGACATGTAAAATTGGGGATTGGAGTCTTTGGGCCAAAAGCTTAATGGCAGTAACTGAGAAGGCAGTAAAAGAGGAGACACTGTTACCCCGGTTCTTTTCCTTTTTCCTACACGTTTAAAAATTATTTGTGGGACAGTTGAGAGTGGAAGTGAGGCTGAGATGGGAGGGGGGAAGAGTAGGTGTGAGAAGGTTGCAGAGTTTAGGTAGGGATCAGAATAAGAGGCAGGATTTATGTGTTAGTGTGTTTTGATGCTATTTTCTGTAAATCCCTGGACTGGGAATTTAATTTCATACAGTGTTTAGCATATGGGATTAATATATTGATGAAGCAGACTTATATAGCTGTCCAGTATTAAATTTTTTCAATTTTCAGCTAATCCTAAAAATCCTACTAAATATAATTTGCTAGAATTACCAGTGTAATAATTTATCCTAGAACTCCCAAGTTTTCCTAGACAAAAATAATTTTCTACTTCGTGTTACCTGAACTAAAAATTTCACTGGACATTCAGTGTTTTTAAAATGCATTAAGTTCTCAAGCAAAAGGTACTTTAATTTGAAGAAGTAAATTAATATAGGGTGAACTGATTTGGATCAGAATCCCAAGAAAATAAGGAGATAACTTAGAGGAAATAAAACAGATTTTATGACAGATTTCAACAGATGAAAGAAACTAGTTAAAAAGATTTCACAGGAAAAACCATAGTTGGTGCTTGATTGGCTTTAAAAGAAATTTACTGATCATTTAAAACGGAGATATTCACCATCATAAAAGAAAATCCGAATGTTGGCTTAAACAAAAACATAATTAGGAAAATAAGTCTTGCCCAAAGCTACATATGATAAATTCCAAAGCCAGATGTCAATTTTTTTTTTCTGATTTTCTTGTGTTGTAGACAATCTGTTATTTGTATGCATTTCATTATCCTTGATGATCAAGGGTTGGCTGTGTGAAGAGAGGTTCATAAAGGTTGGCCGAATTTAAAGAAGCAGGCTCAGGCTTTAAGAAGAGCTGGTTCTTCTACACAAATGGATTGAGACAGGGAGTTAGAATTTTAATCAAATAAATAACTGGAGGAAACAGTGGCTCAAAAGAAGGATGTAAGACAGATTACCTTGGACAGGTACAAAGAAATAATAAAAGCTTGCCAGGAGTATGATCAGTAAGGAAGGGAACAGAATACATCTTGCCATGAAAGGAAAGAGGAATAAGTGGAAAAATGCCCTCTGATACCTCAGCAACAAGAGAGAGGAATGAAACTTCACGCCCTTCTTGACTGGGGTTAGAAACATCATTATAGGTATTGCCACAAAGTCACAAGATTTTTTTATTACATTAAAAAATGTAGGCCAGGCGTGGTGGCTCATTCCTATAATCCCAGCACTTTAAGAGGCTAAGGCAGGAGGATCACTTGAGCTCAGGTGTTGAGAACAGCCCTGGCAACAAAGACCTTGTTTCCACAGAAAATCAAAAAATTAGCTAGGTATGGTAGTAGTACGCAGCTGTGGTGCCGGCTACTTTGGAGGCTGAAGTGGGAGGATCTCTTGAGCCTGGGAGGTCAAGGCTGCAGTGAGCTATGATGGCACTGCTGCGCTCCAGCTTGGGCAACAGAGCAAGACAGTGTATCAAAAAAAAAAAAACATATAATCTTGAGGGATAGTGATTGATAGGGTAAATTATGAGCATTACTTATATGAGAATGTAAAATTTAAAATTGTCAGAAATAAAAAGAGGGATTCGCTGTAATATCATGGCCTATTTTGAGTTATTTGAAAGGGAGGGATACATTATAAACTGAAATTATTAACTGAATTTCTGGATTAACTACTGATAGGAATCAAGCAAAACATTTGTTAGCAGTATGCTGTTTACATGTGCTGAGATGGATTCCAAAAGTTGGGGACACTGGCCCATGTTATGGAGAACAGGATTATAAGAATTTTAAGGGAGATACATACATATGCAAAGATAATTACCAGACAGCTGGCAAGTGCCAAATTCAGGTACAAAAGAGAAAGAGGGCTCAGGGAGGTAATCTTCATAGAGATAATAGAATTTGACCCTGGCCTTAAAGATTGGTTAACATGTGTATGGAGAGAGGGAAGTGGGGGAGGCGAAAGGCGGAAGGTATTCACCCATCTCATTCAGCAAATTTATGCTGATCCTCTACCAAGTGCTAGACCCTGGCCATACAGTGGAAAATAAGAGAAAGTTTTTGCCCTTACGTAACTTATATTCTAGTGGGAGAAGACAGGACAATAAACAAAGACAGTAAACAAGTAAACAGTACATTAAAAAAGTGATGTTAAATAGTGGTCGGTAGTAAAGGTAATGATCAGGGTCGATAAATTGCACTTATTCTGTGAATCACTTGCTTTGCCTATGATAGTCTAATGAACAGTCTTCATGTTATAACTTTTTAATATTCATGTGCAGTCCAAATGAATTTGAATAAAAATCTACACATTAACCAGTTTTTAAAAAAAGAAATGGGAATTAAAGAAAAAGAAACCTATGTGACTTTTTTTTAGGTCAAAGCATGGAAACTTAGATTTTTTTTTTTTTTTTTTTGAGACGGAGTCTTGCTCTGTCGCCAGGCTGGAGTGCAGTGGCGCCATCTCGGCTTTCTGCAGCCTCCGCCTCCCGGGTTCAAGCGATTCCCCTTCCTCAGCCTCCCGAGTAGCTGGGACTACAGGCGTGTGCCACCGCACCCAGCTAATTTTTTTTTGTATTTTAGTAGAGACGGGGTTTCACCACGTTGGCCAGGATGGTCTCGATCTCCTGACCTCGTGTTCCACCCGCCTTGGCCTCCCAAAGTGCTGGGATTACAGGTGTGAGCCACCACACCCGGCCAGAAACTTTAAATTTTTTTTTTAATGCCTTGTTAATGTATCCACAGTTCTTTTGCTGCCATTTGCTAAGAATCTCATGTTTTTTTACAATGAGATTAATGTCATTGTTTACTGTTCAGTTAGCTTTTTCACGTATTGGGCTATATTCTTAGGTTAGACTCTCTGTTAGGAACAATAATCACCATAGTGTCATAAAGTGAAGCTAAATTCCAAAGATTGTTTTGTATGGGAACATACAAAAGAAAAGATGTACAGACAATAAACTGTTAGGCTTAATTACCAATAGGTAAAATAGGGTAAGGGATGACACCTGTTCAACTCTTGTCCCTATGGCATATTGTTCCTGTATTACTACAAAAAGTAAAAACCTGAAGCAAAGATGTTCCAAAATGGGGAAGTCTTGATCTTTCCTGTAGTTATTGGACTGCCAGGTTTGTTTTGTTATTGTTTAGAAGATGTCCTTCATAGTGGTCAACTAAAAACTGATATTATCAGGAGCTATTTCATGTTTTGGGGCACATTTTGTTCTTCTGAAGCATTCTTTAAGAAATATGTGCCCTTCACTCTTTTTGCAGTTTTTAATTTTTTTTTTTTTAATTAAAGATGGGGTCTGTCTCTGTCACACAGGCTGAAGTGCAATAGAGCAATCATAGCTCACTGTAGTCTCAAACTCCTGGGCTCAAGCAGTCCTCCTGCCTCAGCCTCCCAAGTAGCTGAGACCACAGGTGGTGCATGCCACCACACCCGGCTAATTATTATTATTTATTTTTATTATTTTTATAGAGATGGGGGTCTCACTTTGTTGCCCAGGCTGGTCTTAAACTCCTGGCTTCAAGCAGTCTTCCTGCCTTAGTCTCCCAAAGTGCTAGGATTACAGGCACAAGCCACTGTGACCAGCAAAACTTTTTTATAGGTGAAATTGAGGTAAAGGATTTTAAAAAGTGTTGATATTAAGTGTGTCTATAGAACCAAATCCCTCAAGAATTATTCTGTATGCACCTAACCAATTTTCATCTACAAAATACTTGAGATAAACCTATGGGAAACAATTTTAATACAAGGTAGGAAATTCTTTAGTGCTCTCTTGATTTCCTCCTAAACTAAATGCTTAATTTATTTAATTTTTATTTTTTTGAGACATGGTCTTACTCTGTCGCCCAAGCTGGAGTGCAGTGGTGTCATCACAGCTCACTACATCCTTGACTTCCTCGGTTCAAGGGATTCTCCCACCTCAGCCTCCCAAATAGCTAGGACTATAGGCATGTGCAACTATACCTAGCTAATTTTTTATTTTGTGTAGAGACAGGGTCTTGCTATGTTGCCCAGCTAGTCTTGAACTCCTGGGCTCAATCAATCCTCCCACCTCGGCGTCCCAAAGCATTGGGATTACAGGTGTGAGCCACCATGCTTGGCCTTAATTTAGAAAAGAATTACAGCTATAAATGCTGTGGGTCTGTGGTATGTGTAATAAAAGTTAATCTGACTTGTACTCCTCAAAAATATTTGGGAAAGACAGAAGAATTCAGGTTTGTTTTAATGTCTATGTATGTTGGGGTGGGGCAAATTGCGTTTATAGAAAAAAGATGTAATGGTATGGCAAGATAATTAATATTTAATATATCCATTATTTCTCTTAAAATAAATGGGGAAAGATGTGTAGAGAAGTATATGCTACTTACAGTGTGCGTTGTACTAGTTTTTAAATACACAGTTTATATCCCAGGATAGTAGAGTAGGCTTTTGACAAATGTTTGTCAAATAATTTCAGTCAGTTCTTACACCTGTTGCTTTTTATAGCCGTTCCATTATATCTCTAGCTTAGAGCACTGTGTTTTGAGCTTTGAGTTGCAGTTTGCAAGGGGTTGACTTATAGTCTTGGGCATGGACTCTTATTTGAGCCATGTGCTCACTCTAGAACGGGGTCTCTGACCTCACCTCCAGCTTTGACCCTGTGGCTGACCTGACTTCTTCTTTTCCAAAATGATGGGTGGTTGTTTCCAGTCACCTTTTTCGGCTCACAGTGTAACAGCTCCTTCTCTTCCCGAGCAGCTGAGCTGTGTGCTCTTTGGATCACTTCTCAGAATACTAAGGTATATGTATTGCCATGCTGGCTTATTTTGTAGTGGGTTTATTTGTTGTTGTTGCTTGGTTTTTGTTGTTATTGTTTGGTTGGTGGAAAAGAAAATTCCTCGAGAAGATAGTTCTTGACTTGTTTTGTAAACTGTACATGGTATATGAAGCATAGTATTATTTCCTCTTCCTTCGTAGCTTTAGTTAAACATCTTGGGTTGACTTGAGAAAGAATTGGTAAGAATGATATTTTGATAATACCCACCAACCAAAAACTAACAAAGACTTTTTTTTTTTAATTGAGACAGTTGGGAAACTTGAAAATGGAATATATATTAGGTGATATTTAATAGTTACAACCATAATGTTTTCAGCTATAATAGTCATATTGTGGTTATGTTAAAATATTTTCATGTGTTAAAAATACATATGGATGTACTTACAGGCAGAATAAAATGATGCGAAATGTTCATTTTAAAAAACTTCAGGATGGGCACAAACACACAGAAGTGGGAAATGAATAAAAGAGTATTGATAAATTTTTGAAAATTGTTGAAGCTGAGTAATGGGTAAGTTGGAGTTTGTTATTTTTTTTACATTTGTGTATATTTGGAAATGTCCCTAATAATGATTTAAAATATATAACCAATTATAACTGTAGGGTAAGAAATTAAATGCAATAAAATTGTGTTGTTGGGTTGGGTATGAGGGTTCATTCTTATGATCCAGTACTTTGGGAGGCTGAGGTGGGAGGATCGCTTGAGGTCAGGAGTTTGAGACCAGCTTAGGTAGCATGGTGAGACTCTGTCTCTGCAAAATAAAATAAAGTAAAATTATATGCTTGGACATTTGAGCTAATTAGCTAATCAAAAGTCTGCACTTGGCTTTTTTTTTTTTTTTTTTTTTTTGAGACCCAGTTTCACTCTGTCACCCAGGTTGGAGTGCAGTGGCGCAGTCTCAGCTCACTGCAATCTCTGCCTCCTGGGTTCAAGCAATTCTCCTGCCTCAGCCTCCCAAGTAGCTGGGATTACAGGCGTGCACCACCACACCAGCTAATTTTTGTATTTTTAGTAGAGATGTGGTTTCACCAGGGTGGCCAGGCTGGTCTCAAACTCCTGACTTCAAGTGATCTGCTTGTCTTGGCCTCTCAAAGTGCTAGGATTATAGGTGTAATCCACTGCTCCTGGCCTGCACTTGACATTTTCTATAAGTTCTGTTTTTAGTAATAAAATTTTAAGAATAAGGAAAATTTCATAGACACATCGTAAGAGGCCAGGCATGGTGGCTCATGCCTGTAATCCCAGCACTTGGGGAGGTGGGCGGATCACTTGAGGTCAGGAGTAGACCAGCCTGGGCAACATGGTGAAACCTTGTCGCCACAAAAAATACAAAAAATTGGCTGGGTGTGATGGTGCACACCTGTAGTCCCAGCCACTCGTGGGGCTCAGGTAGGAGGATCACCTGAGCCTGGCAGGTCAAGGCTGCAGTAAGCCATGTTAGTGCCAGTGCACTCCAGCCTGGGCAACAGAGTGAGACCCTGTTTCAAAAACAAAGAAACAAAACATCATAAGAAGTGTTTAAAATGCTTAACTTTGAGATCTTGTAATAATAGTGTACCTTGTAGTTTATAAATTGCTTTTACATATTTTGTCTCTTTTATCCTTGGAAGACATGAGTTACCCATTTTACAGATGAGGAAACTAAGGCCTTAGAGAGATGAAGTAATTTATTGAAATCCTAAAGCAAGTAAGAAGTGGTGCTAGAATTGGAGCCAAGATCTTCTGATTCATATTCAGGTGTCCATTCTCTTGTATACATATACTTAAAAGTGCTATTTTTTTGTGGTACTATAAACTAATGGTTTTCAAACATTTTGGTCTCAGGACACATTTATACTCTTAAAAATTTCTGAGGACCCCAAAAATCTTTTGTTTATATAGACTATGTCTGTCCATACTTAACATTAGAAATTAAAACTGAAAAATGTTTAAAATATTTATTTATTTAAAAAATAACAAACATTAGGCCAGGCATGGTGGCTCATGCCTGTAATCCCAACACTTTGGGAGGCTGAGGTCAGTGGATCTCATGAAGTCAGGAGTTCGAGACCAGCTTGACCAACATGGTAAAACCCCGTCTCTACTAAAAATACAAAAATTAGCCAGGTGTGGTGGTGGGCGCCTGTAATCCCAGCTACTTGGGAGGCTGAGGCACGAGAATCGCTTGAACCCGGGAGGCAGAGGTTGCAGTGAGCCGAGATCCTGCCATTGCACTCCAGCCTGGGCGACAGAGCGAGACTGTGTCTCAAAAAAAAGAAGAAAAAACAAAGAGGGTTGATATAAATAATATGCTTTTATGAAAAAGGTATTCCAACACACACAAAAAAATCTGGTGAGAAACATGGCATTGTTTTACGTTTTGCCATTCTCTTTAGTATATTTCTTTATAGAAGATAGCTGGGTTTGCATAATTGCTCCTGTATTCAATCTGTTGTGATATGTTGTTTTGGTTGAAATACGTGAAGAAAACCTGGCTGCACACGGATACATAGTTGAAGAAGGGTGGGGTATTTTCATAGTCTTTTCATATAATTGTGAATATTTTTGTTACACCAAAATTCAACAATTGGTAAATGCTTTTTATTTATTTATTTATTTTTTTGAGATAGTCTCGCTCTGTCGCCCAGGCTGGAGTGCAGTGGTGTGATCTCAGCTCACTGCAACCTCTGCCTCCCGGGTTCAAGTGATTCTCCTGCCTCAGCCTCTCAAGTAACTGGGATTACAGGCACGCACCACCATGCCCAGCTAATTTTTATATTTTTAGTAGAGATGGGGTTTCAGCATATTGACCAGGCTGGTCTCAAACTCCCGACCCCAAGTGATCCGCTTGCCTCGGCCTCCCAAATTTCTGGGATTACAGGCGCAGCCACCGCTCCCAGCCAGATTCTTAAATATTAGTTGCACTGCTGAATCTGAAGCCATGTCAGTGAATTTTGTGTACTCTGTAACATTAAAATCCACTGGTCCATCTTGCACTTTGAATGGATCTTTGACCTGTGTGTGATTTTGTAACTGCATACATTGATCATTCAAAAAATAATGGTTTACTAAGCTGACTGGGCACAGTGGCTTACGCCTGTAATCCCAGCACTTTGGGAGGCCGAGGCAGGTGGATCACGAGGTCAGGAGATCAAGACCAGCCTGGCCAACATGGTGAAACCCCGTCTCTACTAAAAATAACAAAAATTAGCCAGGCATGGCAGTGCACGCCTGTAGTCCTAGCTACTCGGGAGGCTGAGACAGGAGAATTGCTTGAACCTGGGAGGTGGAGGTTTCAGTGAGCTGAGATCGTGCCACTGCACTCCAGCATGGGTAACAGAGCGATATTCCATCTCGGAAAAAAAAAAAAAAAAAGGTTTACTAAGTTCTGCACATCTTTGAAATGTTGGCACATTTGATTATACAATATTAAGCAAATCACAGTCATTAATATCACCATCAGTCTCATCCAAAAAATCTTTAAGAATTGGGAAGTGGTCAAGATCTTGGTGGCGAATTCAAGTTTTCCAAAATACCAGTTTTCTCTTGAAAGCTTAATTTATATCATTGGCAACAGATAGTGCCCATTTTTTTTTTTTTTTTTTTAATACAGTCTCCCTCTGTCGCCCAGGCTAGAGTACAGTGGTGTGATCTTGGCTCACTGCAACCTCTGCCTAGCTCAGATTACACGCACCACCACGCCTGGCTGATTTTTTTTGTATTTTTAGTAGAGATGGGGGTTTCGCCATGTTGGTTAGGCTGGTCTTGAACTCCTGGCCTCAAGTGATCTGCCTGCCTAGGCTTCCCGAGGTGCTGGGGTTACAGGTGTGAGCCACGGCCAGCAGCCCAATATTGCCGGTTTTTCTTAAAGTGACAGGTTCACTTTATTCATTTTAGAGAAAATGTCTGCCAGATACCAAAGTCTGAATAAGTGTAAATTGTCTGCTAGTCAAAAAAGCAAAAATGGTGTCCTATGAAAAAAAAAAATTGTATAAATGCTTTTCCCCAAGATAATCATTATACTTAGGTATGCAGCAGAAATGCTTTATGTGTGCTTCCTATTTCATCATACAGAATATGAAAAAGGCCAAGTTCTCAAGAGTTGACGTTTTAAAAATTAATACCTTTTATTATTTTATCAAGGATGTTGTTAAGTGAGACTGGCTTTTTTTTTTAATTATACTTTAAGTTTTGGGGTACATGTGCAGCACGTGCAGGTTTGTTACACAGGTATACACATGCCATGGTGGTTTGCTGCACCCATCAGCCCGTCATCTACATTAGGTATTTCTCCTAATGCTATCCCTCCTCTATCCTCCCAATCCCCAACAGACCCCAGCGTGTGATGTTTCCCTCCCAACAGACCCCAGCGTGTGATGTTCCCCTCCCAGTGTCCATGTGTTCTCATTGTTCAACTCTCACTTATGAGTGAGAACATGTGCTATTTGGTTTTCTGTTCCTGTGTTACTTTGCTGAGAATGATGGGTGAAACTGGGTTTTTAAAAAATGATAGGCAGTAAAGAATATACAAGTATATGTTTTCTTAGCTGTCAGAGTGATAGATACATCATCACCACATACCGTGCATCCTCGACCCACTGTTGTACACTCATGAGGGAATGAAAGTGAAAAAGACAGATAACATCTTCATATTATCAAAAATAGTTTTATAGATCCCTTGAAGGGGTTCCTTCCTCATCTCTGGATCACACTTTGAAAACTGCTGGTGTAAACTAGTACCATGTGCTGACATCTTTTTAGAGCAGTCTGATACACATTTTTTTTTTTTTTTTTGAGACGGAGTCTCACTCTGTCACCCAGGCTGGAGGGCAATGGCGCCGTCTTGGCTCACTGCAGCCTCCGCCTCCCGGGTTCAAGCGATTCTCCCACCTCAGCCTCCCAAGCAGCTGGGATTACAGGCACCCTCCATCATGCCTAGCTAATTTTTATATTTTTAGTAGAGACAGGGTTTCACCATGTTGGCCAGGCTGGTCTTCAACTCCTAACCTCAGGTGATCCACCTGCCTCAGCCTCCCAGAGTGCCACTGCGCCTGGTCTGATACACGCATCTAAATCAATAAAGTAACATGTCCATCTTAGTTGATGAATTTGTCAGGGAGAAGGGACTATGTTAGTGTGTAGGATGAGCCATGTGGCCAGATACTATTATGGGTGGAAGGTCATATAACATCAGAGCGTGTTGGATAAAGGGTAGACAGAAGGGAAGAGTCAGTGAGAGCACTTTATAACATAAAAAAGTGAAAATTTGCTCTCCCTATTTTTTTTTTTTAATAAAAAAGCACTGTGGCCACATATATACACACATATCTGTTCATACTTACTTATTGTATTCAAAATCCAGGGTACTGAGTTATTTTTTTTCTTGAATGACAGAATGGGAGAGATGGTAACATATGTGAGAGGAGAACGGACTGCTCTTGGCAGTCATTTGTTTCATCCAGGTGGGGAGACTGTTATTTTTTTCTTTTGGGAGAGCTAAGGGATGGCAGAAGATAAATGAAAGAAGAATGGTAAGAGTGAATGGAGTAGGCATTAGTGATTATGGAAATAGCTATAGGCAAAATGAGGCTGTGGACAGAGAGTGGAGCTAAGCATGGAGGGCACGGAGGAAGACTCCAGGATCAGCTGGGCTCCCCCATGTGCTGGGCCTGGAAGAATGGGACTAGGGAAGTGCGGGGGTGGGTGCAACAGGAGTCATGGAGATGCACATATAATTGAAGGATTTCCATCAAAACACGGTTAAAATAACTATACTAGATAGTCTGCCTTTTAGCAACTTACCAGTATTCCATTTCTGTTAGTAGGAATTGTGTATTCAGTTACACAGGGGAAAGCAGCAGTGCCACTTTTTCAGTCATCTTGATGACTGGGTTGTATCCCTAATAATGATGTCGATGGTAAAGAGGCTAAAGCTAAAATTAGGTTTTGGGTTTTGGGCAGTTACTCATATTTCATTGAAAATGAAAGACTAATTGTATTTTTATTTTAATAGAGAAAGATATACATATGTGTGTATTGTCTGTAATTAAAGTACACTCAGTACAGTGTTCTCATTTTTTTGCCCTAGGGGTTTTTCAGCTTGGGGTCTGTCACCCTAGTCTCTGCTTTTCATAGGCTGAGGGATAAAGTCATGATCATGATTAGAAGTGGAGGACAACCCACTTGAAATCCCCTCCTGATGATTTCCCCTTTTCTCCACGATTGCAGACCTGCCCTGCTTACTCTAAGAGCAGTATGTTAGCTGGCCGCTTCTGTAGGATGGTTTGGGAGAAGGAAGATAGTATCCTGGAGCAGTTCTTGACACCTTTAGATTATTAAAGGTTGGGAGGAACACAGCAAGAAAAAGGAAGAGATCTATTGCAAAATATTTCTTTTTTTTCTTTTTCTTTTTCTTTTTCTTTTTTTTTTTTTTTTTGAGACAGAGTCTCACTCTGTCACCAGGTTGGAGTGCAGTGGTGCGATCTCGGCTCACTGCAACCTCTGCCTCCTGGGTTCAAGTGATTCTCTTTCCTCAGCTTCCCGAGTAGCTGGGATTACAGGCACGTGCCACCAGGCCCAGCTAATTTTTGTATATTTAGTAGAGATGGGGTTTCACCGTGTTGGCCAGGCTTGTCTCAAACTCCTGACCTCA
This sequence comes from Homo sapiens, assembly GCF_000001405.40. Lineage (NCBI taxonomy): Eukaryota > Metazoa > Chordata > Mammalia > Primates > Hominidae > Homo > Homo sapiens. Next base: position 517,417 of record NW_011332696.1, on the reverse strand, counting down.
GGCCGCCTGCCTCGGCCTCCCAAAGTGCTGGGATTACAGGCATGAGCCACTGTGCCCAGCCAACACTTGTTGTTTTTAGCTGTCCTAATGGGTGTGACGTGATACCTCATTGTGGTTTTGATTCACATTTCTCTGGTGATTGGTGATGTTCAGCATCTTTTCAAATAGTTGGCCATTTATATATCATCTTGGGAGAAATGTTTATTCCAGTCCTTTGCCCATTTAAAAATTGGATTATTTGAGTTTTTTGTTGTTGAGTTGTAGGATGCCTTTTTCTTTAATGTGAATCAGCTACTTAGAACTCACAGATTAGATGTGATATAGTTCAGGGATACAAAAATGGAGTGAGTGGAGTACAGTAACTGTCATCTCTGCTTCTTCTGCTATTACTGGTACTGCTTAGTCAGGGTTTCATACTCCAAAGAGGATTTGGAGGGCTCGGGTTGATTCTCTTCTTCTTCCCTCTCCTCATTATATGTAAACCAGAGGGATGGACTAGGTGATATCTAAGGTTTTTCCAGCTCTAAAATTGTAAATTTTGCAAGCATTGCCTTTTACCAGCTAACCTCTTGTGTCTAAGATTTCCTTGGAATCTCAGTATTATCTAACTTCTACACTGAGAAATCTTTGTTGCCAGCCAATAGCTAGAAGGTAGCACTCCACCAAAGCTTTGTTGGATCTTTGATTTTCTAACTTTTGATCTTACTTATTTTCCTGCTTATAGCATGGTATCACCTCAGAATCCTGGGCTTAAATATTTGTTTTTTTAATGCTGCTGTACACAAGTCCTATGGTGGATATGGCCTGGAGTAGTAGAGCTTGTACTTACCCTGGAGATACACAGTAGTATGTTTTGCTTTTTTTTTTTTTTTTTTTTTTTTTTAAGCCTACTCACAGTCATAAGGAAGTAGAAGGTGAAAAGTTCATTGGACAATGTATTTTCTTTTTTTTTTTTTTGCTTTTTTTTGTTTGTTTGTTTTGTTTGTTTTGAGACCAAGTCTCGCTCTGTCGCCCAGGCTAGAGTGCAGTGGCGCTATCTCGGCTCACTGCAACCTCCACCCGGGTTCAAGCGATTCTCCTGCCTCAGCCTCCCAAGTAGCTGGGATTACAGGTGGGCACCACCACGCCCGGCTAATTTTTGTATTTTTGGTAGAGACGGGGTTTTGCCATGTTGGCCAGGCTGGTCTCAAACTCCTGACCTCAGGTGATCCACCTGCCTCGGCCTCCTAAGGTGCTGGGATTACAGGCATGAGCCACTGCACTGGCCTGTTATTGTTTTAAATACATAGAGCAAACAAAACACCAGTCCAAATTCAGTGAATTTTTATTTCTGTTAAGAACAGCTATATTTTCATGCCAGGTATAAAGAAGTATTTCTAAACTGATTTATTTGTTGTCCATGGCTCTCATATGGACAATGATATCATGATGTTAATTAAAGGTAAGAAATAATGTGATTGTGGTTGAGGCTTAAGGGTACTGCTAAGATAAAATTATTTTTAGGTTTCAAGCACTTGATGTTTTTAATTTTTTGTGTCTTATAGATAGTATCTGACAGATAGCCAGTCTTTAGGGAGCTTATTTTAGTTATGGAGTTATATATTATTGCCATATGGTGCCATGACTTAAAATGTTCTCATGCTGACAATACTATAGGAGGAATAAAGTAAACAAGCAAAATCCAGTAAACCAAATAGGAATGGGTAAGCAATATGTAGGGTGACTCAGAATGCATGAGATGTTGGTAGTGCTTACACTAGAACACAGCATGTCTATCTAGTGTTGTCTTTGTGCTTGACCATCTGTGACATCTATATTGCTTTCTGGCCTATTGCCAGGTCTTGATTGACCATTACCAGTCCCTTCTTACAAAATACTAAAAACACCTGGGTGTGTAAATAGCGGAGGTAATGGAAGGACTGAGGCAGCTTCAAAGAACTACATTGTGGAAAGTTGCCATAATGGTCAGAGCCACCCTTGTTCATTCATTCTTAACTTTGGTTATACAGTAACTCAAGGATTGAAATATATTTGGTAGCACTGACAGTTTCATTGCAAAATATTATCTAGGCCCTTTGGGGCTACTTATCACCATCCATCCCTCTGAGCATAGGCTGGACATTTAATTGTGAAAAAACACAACCACGAAACACAGGTAAAGTAAAAAAGATAAAACTAAACCATGGGTGATCATTAGTAGACCAGAATTCATTAACATAATCATTATCCAGAGGGTGCAGAATTTCCCCCCCAAATGATAGCATTTCATAAATTTATAATATTGTATAAATAACTCTCAGATGTTTTCATTATCCATTTATTTTGCATGGGAAATATAACTTATTTTTATAGTGTAATTTCATTTGGGTTTCTAAAAGTACATGATGTTACTGTTATTACATCAATATCATTTATAACAAGTTCTTTTCCATTCAGATATTCAGAATCCACATATTAAATATTAGATTGGTACATTATGGCTCTAGAACTGTGATTTGGTTACCATTTCTCTTACCGGCTTTGAATTTGGTGGGGAAAGATTTGCCAGGAAATGAGACTGAAGCTGTCATATAGTTTTGGCTAGATTGTAGTTTATAGGATATCGTTAGACTTTATTTATCCATGTACTCTCTTATCTGTTATTAGGGTAACTTAAGATTTGACCAGGATTTGTTTTTGAATTTTTTGGAGCGATGGAAACGTTCTGCATCTTGATTGTGGTGATGGTTACATTACAGTGTACATTTGGTCAAAACTCATAGAACTGTACACCAAAAAGCATTAATTTTACTTTATGTAAGTTAAAAAATAATGCTTTAAAAATAAATGTAGTGGCCAGGCGTGTTGGCTCATGCCTGTAATCCCAGCACTTTGGGAGGCTGAGGCGGGCGGATCACCTGAGGTCAGGAGTTTGAGACTAGCCTGGTAAACATGGTGAAACCTTGTCTTTACGGAAAAAAAAAAAAAAAAAAGTACACAAATTAGCTGGGCTTGGTGGTGCACACCTGTAGCCCCAGCTACTCAGGAGGCTGAGGCATCAAGCTGAGAATCGCTTGAACCTGGGAGGCAGAGGTTTTCAGTGAGCTGAGATCATGCCACTGCACTCCAGCCTGGGTGACAGAGCGAGAATCCATCTCAAAGTAAACATAAATTTAGTAAGATTACTGGATGTGAGGTTATTATACAAAACCTATATTTCTATATAACAGTAATCAGAAAATGAAATGTTTAGATGCTGTTTATAATAGCATCAAAAAATATCAAATGCTGGTAATAAATCTAAGAAAGATACCTGAAACTTTTACAGAAGTTTATATAAGTTGATTCTAAAATTCATATGGCAGTGCAAATGGCAAGAATAGTCAAGGTAATATTAAGGAAGAACAAAGTTGTAGGATTCACACTATTGAATATACAGTGTGGAATAAATGAATGGATAATGGAACAGAATAGAGCCCTGAATCAGACCCATATATGTAGATACTAATTTATGATTAAAATGGCACTTTACAGCAATGTGGAAAGAAAGATCTTTCGATAAATGATCCTACGTCAATTGCCTATCTGTATGAAAAGAAAAAGAAAACTAATTTTGGTCCTTGCTTGCCATCACTTACAAAAATAAATTATAGGCTAATTGTAGATCTCAATGCGAAAGGTTAAAAAAAACTAAAGCTTCTAGCAGTGTTCAGCCATATTCGTCATCAAAAAATGCTGAATGAAACCACAGTGAATTACCACTACACACTGATCAGAGTAGCTAAAATTGAGAAACAAACAAAAACTTGAAAATACCAGTATCAGCATGGGTGTAGAGCAACTAGAACCCTCATGTATGGATTCTGGAATTGTAAATTGGAATAACTGTGGAAAACTGGTTGTATCTATTATACTAAAGTGTTACATACTTATGCGTTTAACCTAGCAAACCCACTCCTAGGTGTATACCCAACAGAAATGTGTACTTATGCTCACCAAAAGACATGTACAAGAATGTTCATAGCAGCACAATTCATAATAACTCCAAGCTGGAAACAACCCACATGTCCATCAGTGGAAGAATAGATAAATACATTGTTGTATATTCAATGAGATACTAGGTAGAAGTGAACATGAAAAAACTCTTGCTACTTACAACAACATAGATATGAACATAATTTTGTACAAAACAGTTCAGACACAAAAGAGCTCAAAAACAGGCAAAACTCAGCCATGGTATAAGAAGTCAGGTTCGTGGTTACCTTTGGGGAGAGAGATTAGTAGTAGGAAGACATATGAAGCCAACTTCTGGAGTACAGGTGGGTTTCTATTTCTTGATCAGGATGGTGATTACATGAGTGTGTTAACCTTATAAAAATTCTTTGAGCTGTACATTCATGATTTGTGTATGCTTATTGGCATATATGTTATACTTGAGTTTTTACGAAATTTATTTTTAAATGCTTTGAGTTAACCACAGGAGTAAGTGGCATACAAGATTGTATTAGTTTCCTTTTTCATTAGTAAAGCTTGTATTATCAATGCTGTAAGGGAGAAAATTATTTGTATTACAAATACAAATAACTGGCCTCATAAATAAATAGAACAGGCTTAGCTTCTTTCTTAACCAAATCCAAACATTCCTAGGCTTCTTGAGTTTTTTATTGGTTTTGTTTCTAGGGATAAACCAATTCTTTTTTTCTCTTCACAAAAGAATATATTTCTGGAAGTCATTCTATATCAGATAGACATCTTTCTTTTTACATGTCCATATGGTATACTACATTGATATAATAATATATTTAGCCAATTTATCACTCATTAACTTTGAAGTTGTTTCTTTTTACAGTTATAAACATGTTACAGGGAAAAGTATTTCACATAATATACTTGGGCAGGTATTTATATAAGACAAATTATTGGAAGTAGAATTTCTAGATCTCAGATTATGTGTATTCTATTTACTTTTTTATCTTTTTGTTTGAAAATAATTTTAAATTTACAGAAAAAAATAAAAGAACAGCATCTACTATTACCAGTTTGCCCCCTTTGCTTTATTACTTGCTCTCTCTTCATATTTATATATGATACATTTTTCTGAACCATAAGTTGTACACATGGCCCACTATCCTCAAGCACATCAGCAGGTCTCCGAAGAACAAGGACAGTTTCCTACCCACAGTACAGTTGTCAACCCCAGTAAACCTGACATTGATTTAATACTTCTAACTAGCCCACACGTGTATTTCAGTCCTGTAAGTTGACACAACGACATTCTTCATAGCATTGTACTGTCTAGTACAGTCTTAGTTTGCTTGGGTTGCTATAACAACCTTAGACTGGGTAGCTTATAAATAACAAATTGACTTCTTATAGTTCTGAAGGCTAAAAGTCTGAGATCAGAGTGCCAGCATGATCTGGTTCTGGTGAGGGCCCTCTTCTGGGTTGCAGAGTACCAATTTCTCATCGTATACCCAAGAAAGAGAGCTCTCTGGGGGTCCTTTTTATATAGCATGAATCCCATTCATGAGGGCTCCACCTCATGACCTAATTACCCTCTAAAGGCCCCAGTTTCAGATACTATCACAATGGACTTAGGGTTTTAATTTAAGAATTTAGTGGGGACACAAATATTTGGTCTTGCATACAGGGTCCAATTGAGGATCGTGTTCTACATTTACTTGTGTCTTTAGTTTCTTTACATCTGGAGTCATGCCTTGGCCTGCCTGCCCTTTTTAAAAATGACAGTTTATTGAGATACAATTAATATACCACCAAATTTACCATTTAAAAAAAGTTGAGATATAATTTCAGTCGTAAAATTCGTCTTTGAAGGTGTGCAATGCAGTGGTTTTTGGTATATTCACAGTTGTGTAGTAATCACTACTATCTAATTCTAGGACATTTTCATCACCCCCAAAACAAACTCTGCACATTAGGTCATACACCATTTCCCACTCCTCCCAGCCCCTGGCAACTGCTGATTTACTTCCTGTCCCTATGCATTTGCCCTTTCTGGGTATTTCTTTTTTTTTTTTTTTTTTTTTCTCTTTTCTTTTTTTGAGATGAAGTTTCGCTCTTGTTGCCCAGGCTGGAGTGCAATGGCGTGATCTCGGCTCACCACAACCTCCACCTCCCAGGTTCAAGGGATTCTCCTGCCTCAGCCTCCTGAGTAGCTGGGATTACAGGCATGTGCCACCACGCCCGGGTAATTTTGTATTTGTAGTAGAGACGGGATTTCTCCATGGTCAGGCTAGTACCTAACTCCCAACCTGAGGTGATCCGCCCACCTCGGCCTCTGAAAGTGCTGGGATTACAGGTGTGAGCCACGGCACCCAGCCTTTCTGGGTATTTCATATAAATGGATTCATATAATATGTGGTCTTTGGTATCTAGTTTCTTTCCCTTAGCATAACGTTTTTGGGGTTCTCCCATATTGTAGCTGGTATCAGTATTAATTCCTTTTCATGGCTAAATAATATTCCATAGTAGGGATATACTGCATTTTGTTTATCTATTCATCAGTTGATTAATTTTTTTGGCTGTTTATAAATCTGCTGTGAACATTTTTATACAAGTTTTTGTGGGTCCATTTCCTTTCTTAAATTATTTTAGATTTGGGGTATATGTGCAGGTTTGTTACATGTGCATACATTTTCAGTGCTCTTGTATTTACATTTTAATCTGGATGTTATATCTCACTTTACAGAATTTTTTTCACAGTTATTTCTCTCTAGGGTTTGTGGTGGAACACATGTAGACAGAGAAATAGTTGTTAGGAAGACATAGACCTGGTAGTTTGTCACTCTGAAGTGGGCTGTCAGCTGAAAAGCTTGAAGACCATGGGTCTAGACAGACAGCTCATTCCAACTACAACTATCATAGATTGACCAACTCCTGAGAATTTATGCCATTTACCTACCTTACTGGGCCTTCCAATAAGATAGACTAATTTTAATAAGAGTTTCTTATTTTCCCTCCTTAACGCTTTGTGGGAGATACTGTTGGGTGGAAATAATGTCAGTGTAACCTTGTCAAGGCCTGTACCTCTTTTATTCTTCATGTTTGTATTTGTGTGGGGCAGGGGACTGTGTGTACCTGGGGTTGAAGGGAAGATGAATTGTCTTCCCCTCTGCCTTTCCCTCTAAAATCAGTGCCACAGTGAGAATCAGCAAGTGGCCAGGTGCGGTGGCTCACGCCCATAATCCCAGGACTTTGGGAGACTGAGGTGAGTCAATTGCTTGAGTCCAGGAGTTTGAGACCAGTCTGGGCAACATGGTGAAACTCCAGCTCTACTAAAAATAGAGAAATTAGCCAGGCGTGATGGTGTGCACATGTAGTCCCAGTTACTCGGGAGGCTGAGCTGGGGGGATCACCTGAGCCTGGGAGGTTGAGGCTGCAGTGAGCCATGATCAGCACCACTGCACTCCAGCCTGGGCAATCAGAGTGAGACTCCTGGCTCAAAAAAAAAAAAAAAAAAAAAAAAGAAAAGAAAAGAAAAGAAAAAAAAGCAACTGTCTGCCTCCTGAAGAAAGATGAATCTGTGCTAAGTGGCCTCCTGGCAGGAAGCAACCAGCCTTTAGGGACCAGCTGACAGGAAGTTGCCTCCAGAATTAGTAGAAGTTTGCTGGCTGGTGGTGTCGCCGCTCCCTCCAAACCTCTTGACCAGGGGTTATTTGTGAATACAAAGAGATTGTGTAGCACCCTAAGGAGTTGGGGTAGGAGAGCGTCCAGAATAAATACATAGGTGGGATTGACCACCTCCTCACCTCCTCCTGTTGACTTCTAGATGTCACCACTTGAAATTTTTCTCTCCCACTCTTGCTATGTGATCTCACGGAGCCTTATAGATATCTTATGAAATTGCTTTAAAATTGTATCCTCCAAAGATTCCTTGAGCAAAAAGCCTTGCACAGTATAGATGTTCAAAAACTGTTGTGTAAGTGAAGGAAGCACAAGTTAGACCCACTGTACAAGGGAAATAGCTGAATGAGCATTTTCTAACCTAGTGTTCCTTGTATTGGATGTTAATATGTTACGAAAACTCCTGACTCTGGTTAAATACCATCTTTAAAAATTTTTTTAATTTATATTTTTATATATTTTAAGACAGGGTCTCACTCTGTGGCCCAGGCTGGAGTGCAGTGGCAATCATAGCTCACTGCAACCTCTATCTCCCGGGCTCAAGCTCCCCAGTAGCCTTGCAGCAACCTCCATCTCCCAGGCTTAGCCTCACTAGTAGCTGGGACTACGGGCCCCTGTCAGCACACCTGGCTGATGTTTTTTTTTAGTTTTTTTTTTTTTTAAAGTAGAGTCGGGGTCTCAGTATGTTGCCTAGGCTAGTCTCAAACTCCTGGTCTCATTTTCTTTTTTCTTTTTATGAGACAGAGTCTCAGTCTGTCGCCCAGGCCAGGGTGCAGTGGTGCGATCTTGGCTCACTGCAACCTCCACATCCCAAGTTCAAGTGATTCTCCTGCTTCAGCCTCCCCAGCCTCCCGAGTAGCTGGGACTATGCTACCACGCCCGGCTAATTTTTTCGTATTTTTTAGTAGAGACGGGGTTTCACCATGTTGGTCAGGCTGGTCTTGAACTCCTGACCTCAAATGGTCCACCTGCCTCGGCCTCCCAAAGTGCTGGGATTGCAGGTGTGAACCACTGTGCCCAGCCTTTTTTTTTTTTTTTTTAAATAACTGCTGGCCCAACCTTGAGAAGGGTGGTGACGTCCTTTATTTAATGTAATATAGATTGGCTGGAGGCCCGAATCTTGGTTTCCATCATCATCCTAAGTGAAGTTTTACAGGATTGGATTAGAGAGGAATTCTAAAGGGCTGTATGCCCTTGTGATGGTGATTAGCCGTTAGTAATGGGAAATTCCTGGGTGGAGATATTTATTTAACGTGCATTCATAAGCCGGTGAACACTGAACTCTATCTCTCCCAAGCTTTAACAATCTTTCCTTGACACATCTACACCTAAACATTTGTAGATTTTTAAGAAGAAAGATTGGAAACTAGATTGCTTCACCCATAAACCCTGTCTTATTAAACCCTAATTGGGCTCTGTGCCCCAGCATATCCTTGCAGTCTTCTGTTGGGTATCATAAGTGAATTGTTGTGCTCCTTTATTATTATTCAAATTATAGAGGCTGTGACATTGGAGAACTGGATCTCTTACATAATAAAATATTCAGAATTCCAGACTTTCAACATATAAAACATCGTAAGCAATAGATTAATCACAGTGTTACATGTGTCACCAGATTTCTCCTCTGCTCTCTCTTAAACTGCCTTCCAAGTGACCTGTCCCTTGTGACAGTTTTTTAGGAGAAGGTAAAGGATCCACCTCTGCTTGTTCGTGTGAAAAATACTGATGCCTGGGCCCATTCCTCAGAGATTCTGATTTATCATTCTGAGGTACATCTGGATATTTAAGAGCTCCCAGATGATTTTAATGTGTAACTAAGGTTCAGAGCTACTCTGTTAGCCAAAATGCTCCTCCATTTAATCATGTACTGAGTTGTTCCCTTTTTAGCAAATGTTAGAATTTACAATAGGTGGGAGGATTACCTGAGCATTTATTACATGCTTTATATTTTATTACATACTTTAACTGTCTTACTGTATTTTCATGGTGACCCAGGAAGTTGACAAGCATTTGCTTCGAGGGTTCCTCCCCCTTCACTAGAGTCCTGCCGAGGCTGTTGCCTCACCATTTGGTTCTCTATTTCATGCCTGGCATTTCATCTGTAACTTCATGGCAGGCTGGCATTTTGGTGAGGGCAACTCTCCACAGCCACACCCATTAAGTGTTTAAAAGGGTGCATTATTTCTCATCTTTTGAAATATTTTGCGTTCTGTGTTTTTCAGGAGCCTATTAAAATTTGCAGAATGTTTGGTAAGCTCTCTAGGGTTGTGGAAAGCACACTCCCTAGAAGCTATTTTCTGTCTTTTACCACTGATGAATAGTGTGACTTTGAATAAATATGTAACATTTTGTAAAAGGGACATTATTAACTTGCCAGAAGACATGCACTAGACTAAGTGGAAGTCCTTCTTTGGCTATGAAATTTCAGTAGTCTCTGACTTTCTTTAATGACGTGACATGACTGACTTCCCATTTCTCCTCTTACCATTATTTTCAACTCAAATCCAGCTTTTATGCCTCTATGTCCTCCAGGTAAGAGAGACTGAAAATCAGTAGGTCTTGACAACTGATTAAATGTGAACATTGAGAGAAAGACCAAAGATGTCTTTAGGATAGATGTCTTTAGCCAGGCGTGGTGGCGCACGGGGATGCATGTTTTCAAACCTGCCTGATTCTCTGAACCTCCTGGGACATTTGTTAAATATGCAAATTCACAGGTTCCACTCTAGACCCACGAATCAATCTCCAGAGGTGGGCCTGGTTGGGCATTTTTATCAAGTTTCTAAGTGATTCTTGTGATCAGGCAAAAGTGGGAAATTGTGCTATAGGAAATTGAATCTAGTTGGTGCTCGATAAATGAACATATATATATATATTCTACTAACTCATTTAATTTTTTTCCTGGAGTTTTATAGATTAGCTAAGATCCACACCCCAGAATTAGAAGAATGAACACTATTTGCAAGAGAAAAAACTGAACATTTATTATCGTGTTCTACTTAGAGGGGCTTTCAGTCTCTGATACTTAGTGATGCTTATGTGACACTTAAATATGTTGATAGCAAATGGTGATAGGTTTCTTTTGAATGTATTTCATAATCTGTCCAGTAGAGAATTAGACTGTGGAGCTTTGTGAGCATATTTTTAGGGTCTATGCCGTGGACTATGTTTTAGATGAGATGGTGAAATTAGATATTTTGGCATTTAGCCATTGAGTTTCTTAATAGACAGTTCTATGGTCTGGTTTATATTAAGTTTCATCAATAGCAAGCTTACTGTATTTGTAATGATTTTGCTTATAATTTTAATTTTGAATATGTGTTCTTTGATACTGAAGGTTACATTTGGCAAAGGAACATTGCCTGGTACTGAATCATATATAGTTATATTGCTTTGTGTAGAATACATATGAATGTCTTTTACCTTGTAGCATTGCTGTCATAGGGCTATGTAATTACATTTAAAAACTTTTTAAAAATTTGCTCACACTATAGTCACTGTTGGATGAATGTCATGATAGTGTATTAAAATTCATTTAGGTTTCACTTTGACTTCCACATCTTTTTTTCATGACATGACATGAGTTACGTCTTATTAAAAATATATATAGTTTTCTGTTATGAAAGTTATCTATAAAATAGGAAACTTAGAAATTACAGAAAAATATATTGAAGAAAGTCATCCTTGAAGAAATGTCAACCTTCAGAGTCTACCTATTTTTCAGCCTTTTATTTCAGCCTGTTTTTTTGAGATGGAGTTTTGCTCTTGTTGCCCAGGCTAGATAGAGTGCAGTGGCGTGATCTTGGCCCACCGCAACCTCCACTTCCTGGGTTCAAGCAATTCTCCTGCCTCAGCCTCCCGAGTAGCTGGGCTTACAGGAATGCGCCACCATGCCTGGCTAATTTTTGTGTTTTTAGTAGAGATGGGGGTTTCTCCATGTTTGTCAGGCTGGTCTCGAACTCCCGACCTCAGGCGATCCGCCCACCTCGGCCTCCCAAAGTGTTGGGATTACAGGTGTGAGCCACCGCATCGGCGTTTTTTTTTTGAGATGGAGTTTCGTTCTTGTTGCCCAGGCTGGATTGCAATGGCAGCGATCTTGGCTCACTGCGACCTCTGCCTCCCAGGTTTAAGTAATTCTCTTGCCTCAGCTTCCTGAGTAGCTAAGATTACAGGCATGTGCCACCATGTCCGGCTAATTTTTGTATTTTTAGTAGAGACAGGGTCTCACCATGTTGGCCAGGCTGGTCTTGAACTCCTAACTTCAGGTGATCCATCAGCCTCGGCCTCCCAAAGTGCTGGGATTACATGCATGAGCCACTGTGCCCGGCCTATTTCAGCCTTTTATTATGTCTAATTATTCTGGTTTATAAACAATGACCTAATTAGTAAAACTTGAGCCTGTACATAGTGCTCATTTTGCTTTACATTAGCTTATGTGAAGCTGGGACAGAATAAGACATTGAGATATTTTCAGATATTATTCTGGTGCAATAATTCAATCATGTAGTCTAGATAGCCATTTTCATGGGTACTTTCAGTGCCCATGACATATAATAAGGGTATATCTTGTGCCAGGCACATTGCCTTGGATTTAGACTATTAACAGTCTCTTGGCTCTCAGGTTTTATAGTTACCATTCTAGACTGAGCGCATCCATAGGCAACTAAAACTGTATGGTACTGTAAGGAGACTAGTCAGTCAGTCTCCTTAAATCTATTCTCACCTCAGTCCATTCTGAATAGAGTTACCAGAGTGAAATTCTCTTAGTAGTGTTCTTATGTTATTTTCATAAAGCGTACAGTGGCCTAGATGGCTTTAGACTTCAGGATTCTTTACCATCTAGCCCCTTTTACTCTACCAACTTATTTTGTTACTTGTTGACATAATCTGTAGCCAGGAAAGCCTGCATACAGTTTGTTATCCCTCTGTCTTTGCTCATGCGTTTTCTGCATCTGGAATCATCTTCCTCTCTTCTCTCTGCTGGTTCATGTCCCTATTTTCTTTCAAAACTCTCTTTGAAATTTACATTTTTCAGGAAGCCTTTCTCTTTGGCTTGCTGGACATCTGACCGGCATGTTATCTTTTCATATTTGTTCAAAATGTCATTTTCAACATTTACTCAACTAATTAATATCAAGGACTTGCCATCAATTCTCTTTTTCCCTGCATTGGGTTAGAAACCTAATTTAACTTCAACACTGACATATTGGTATTTTAGAGTGGGAAATTGAGACTTTGATAGGAAGGTGTTTGTTGCTGCTGCAGGTAATGTGCCTGAACCCAACTGACATTACACCCAGAATTATAGAGGGCCAAGTATAGTACTGTGTAAAAATGACAGAATAACCTCTTAAAAAAGAAAAAATAAAAAAGAATAGCAAATAGAAACACCATTCTCTCAAACTTTGATTTGTAGAAGCAGATGTTTTGTAAAAAAAAATTTTTTTCCCCTTAGACTCATTGATATTTATCTTCTTCTATGGGATATAGCCCATTACTATTTGTTTTGCTATTAAGATTGTTTGGGAAACCCTTCTAAAGAATCAGACAACAGCGTTACTGGGAGCTGAGGTAAGGAGAACTAACAGCTCACCGAGGCTGGTGGAGGAGGATGGGCAGGGCTGAGCGGCTGAGCACTGGCACAGGTGTCCGTCCTAATGTGCCAGGCAGACTCTTGATGAAGCCAGCTTTTTCTGCATGTGCAGAGGTTATTTCTGCTTTTAGAATCTGAGCACTAGATTATAAAATAATTCAGATCTTGTTTGTTTTCTAAATAATCTAGTGTGAAAATCCTGAGAATTTGTGTCTTCCTGTGAGGCTTAGGTGGAAGTCTGACTTAGTATCTGGAACATGAGGTATTTAAGGGCTAATATAAATGTAAAATATTGAATTGATGATCTTTACTTAGTATAACCAACCATGTGTGAAACACCAAACTGGAAAAATTTTACCTTTCTCCTCCAAAATAAAACTTTTTTTTAGAGTAACAAATCAAAGATTTTAAAGGCTGATAGATGATAAAATACCTGAATTCACGGGTGACTGTCTCAAACCAGTCTGGAAAATATTACTTGTTATAATAGCAGTACATCAAGGGACTTGGCAGTTCCTCCTCAAAAAATAGAAAATGAATGTATGATAAGAGCTTAACATCAGACAGGAAGAGGCTTGGTTATACTCATGAAGAGAGAAATTAAGATGAATATGAGGATGAAGAAACAGCAAAGCCTCTAAGGACAAAAGAAGGGTCCAGAAACTACAGTTAGATGATGTGATGGAGCCGAATTATAGAAAAAGACAGTGGAAAGGACAAAGTGGAAAAAATAACCAAGGGATGAGGACAGAGAATGTTCCGACTCCCGTCTGGGGCTACTCCGCTAGCCTTTAGTGTCCTTGCTTTCCTGTGGTGCTGTGATTCTTCAGCCTAGGTCTTGGCCTGTCACTTTGTGGTACTTTGCTCCTGATACAGCTTCCTGATATCATTAACTTCCAGGGCCCCAGCAGGGGGAAGTGTGCGGACAGATGCAATGACTTAAATTAGCACAGACTAGGATCCTGCAGTGAATGAACAGCGATGCTGTTGCTGCATCTTTCTCTGCTACCTGGCCGCCCTTTCTTTTTTCCTTACCTGGTAGAGTAACAAAATCCCCAAAGGGGTCTCCTGCATACTGTGGGATTGGAAGAGAAGTGGAAATAGTTGCTCAGAGCAAGCCTTGAAAATCCCCTGTCACAAAGGAATTACCTGGAACAGTTACCCCAGAGTTACCCGTTTTAGTTTGTGTGTTGTAGGGTATAAACTCTCACACCATAATATGACTGCTTAATGATAAGTCAGCCCTGTCCCTGTTAGGAGACTTTGCTGAGAACTGAGGCACACTTACAGCAATATCTTTTTGTTCTAAGTGAAATAATCTTTAGATATTAGTGATCACTGAATTCCTCATTATACAAGTAGGAAAAACACAGGCTTGGGGAATGTCAAGTGACACTGTATACGCCATTTTAGCATTTTAGTAGATGAGTTGAAATTAGGAACAAGGTCTCCTGAGTCCTAGTCCACAGTATCTTTTAAAAACAATAACCTCACTTGTCTCTAAATTCCTAGGGTTAGTTTTGCCCTCATGGAGCAAAGAAACTGAGCAGGCCTAGGTTGTAGGTGACTGGCACAAAGAGACTGAGAGAAGGAAGCCTGTGGTGGAGTGTTCTGTGATTTTAGAGTTTTTGTAGCTCCTGCTTTTGCTGTTGAAGCTGAGCAAGGGGCCTGCAGCTACCCCTGGGCCTGGCTGGTGTCCCATTTTTGAGGCCCCAGAGTTATTTTTAGCCGCAGGGCCTTGGAAGCAGGTGTGGTCCGGGCTTGAAGGCCACGCCTGGAATGTGTTCAAACCTTGTTGTGCATGTCTGCTTAGGAGCTGAGAATAGTGACGAAGCCATTGCATATACTTTGTTAGAGGAATTTGCACTTTTCCAAGTGAGAGCAATGAAAGTCATCTTGCGTTGCATTTGTGACACTTTAAACAGGTTTATTTTGGAAACTTTATAAATTGAATGATCTTTTACAAGTATTAGTGAATATAATTAAAAAATACATTAGCTATAAATCCTTTGTATACCAAATAAACTTTTGTATTATAAGAGTCATACCCTAACTGACCTATTTTTAAAGTCTAGCTTCATAGTCATAAACATGTGATTTAAAATTTCATTTTTCTCACTTCCCCCACCCCTCAAACATTATTGCTGTTTAAAATAATTCTTTATAAATCCATTTCAGCTTTTACCTTGAGGGTAAACATTAATTTCCATACATTACATTTGTTCATCTTCTTTGTTTTTTTTTTTTTTTGAGACAGAGTTTCGCTCTCGTCCCCCAGGCTGGAGTGCAATGGAGCGATCCCGGCTCACTGCAACCTCCGCCTCCCAGGTTCAAGCGATTCTGCTGCCTCAGCCTCCCGAATAGCTGGGATTACAGGCATGCACCACCACGCCCAGCTAAGTTTTGTATTTTTAGTAGAGATGGGGTTTCACCATGTTGGCCAAGTAGTTCTCGAATTCTTGACCTCAGGTGATCTGCCCGCCTTGGCCTCCCAAAGTGCTAGGATAACAGGCATGAGCCACTGTGCCCAGTTCTCATCTTCTTAACCTTTGCCCACCCAAACTTTTATAATGGTCCTGAGAAGAAGGAGTACAGTAGGACCTGGTAATAGTTCCTGGGTCTGAATGTATGTCATGACCTTATATTAATATTTTTCATAATTTCCAAGGTTATGGAAAAGAGTATGACAATTACGTTTAATTACCTAAGTAAAACTATTACTATGTTTTATACATATCCATCGTATGTGTTTGTATGCCTGTGGGTGTTTGAGGTTCTATTTTACCTAGCTGTTCTGAGACTTGACTTTATTCTCAATATATCATGACCATCCTTGGCTGTCAATAAGTATATTTTTACACCATCGTTTTTAAATGTTGCATACCATGTTGCAGGATTTATCATAATTTATAAGTTACTTAAGCCAGTCTGTCCCTTTCTTATACATGTAGGCCTTTTCCAGTATTTTTTCATGTGTATTTTAACTGAAAGATAAAGCACTTTCTTGTAAGTCACTTTGTTTTGTTTTTTTTTTGAGACGGAGTCTCGCTCTGTCGCCCAGGCCGGACTGCGGACTGCAGTGGCGCAATCTCGGCTCACTGCAAGCTCCGCTTCCCGGGTTCACGCCATTCTCCTGCCTCAGCCTCCCGAGTAGCTGGGACCACAGGCGCCCGCCACCGCGCCCGGCTAATTTTCTGTATTTTTAGTAGAGACGGGGTTTCACCTTGTTAGCCAGGATGGTCTCGATCTCCTGACCTCATGATCCACCCGCCTCGGCCTCCCAAAGTGCTGGGATTACAGGCGTGAGCCACCGCGCCCGGCCTTGTTTTAAGATGAGTCTCACGCTGTCATCCAGGTTGGAGTGCAGTGGTGTGATCTCGGCTCACTGCAGTGTCCACCTCCCAAGTTCAAGCGATTCTCCTGCCTCAGCCTCCCGAGTAGCCGGGATTACAGGCCCATGCCACCACATCTGGTGAATTTTTGTATTTTTAGTAGAGACGGGGTTTCGCCCTGTTGGCCAGACTGGTCTTGAACTCCTGACCTCAAGTGATCCACCCACCTCGGCCTCCCAAAAGTAGTTTAAAGGAGATTCTTGAAACTACCTCCTTGTTGTGTAGACTTTTTTCATGCATATGTCTTGCTTAACATGTATTTGATATTTTACTACGTTCCATATTGTAAAACTAAGATTCTCTTAGTAGATACAACACACTTTTGGCATTGGAAAAATTCTGGGAAAAAGTGCTGGGATTACAGGCATGAGTCACCATGCCCAGCCATAAGTCACTTTGAATTTATTCTGTGAGCCATTTTGAAATTATCTTCAGGAGAATGTAGTTCAGCATTCTAATTTTATTTATTTTAGTACTAAGAGATTTAAAATAGATTAAATTATGGAATATTACTATTGTGAGCTTGAGCTTGAGTGCAGGTGGGTGAGAAGTTTGGTGTCGGTGTTGCATTCCATTGCTTGCTCCTAGAGCCTTCCAGTCCTGTTTGGAAAAATTAAATTATAACCCCTCTCCCCTTAGACTGTGTTCCAAATTGTTCAGATGTTTACTCTGGTCTTAATACCTTTAGTCAATTAGTTCTTTGTCAACAAAGTATACTATATCTTTCATGTATTGGAATTTTGTTGTTCTGGGGCTGGTGTGGACTAAAGGAGGGGGTGCATATATTAATAGATAAAGATTATAAACTTATTTTAGTGTTATCAACCCCTTCAATATAGTAATCTAACTTGTAAAGGCCTTGTGTTAAGTATTTGATCCTTCTGACAAGGAGAGAACCTTGAAAGCATTTAAAAAATTTTTAATGTAAAGATCCTTTAAACTACCTCCTTGTATAGACTTTTTTCACACATATATCTTGCTTAATGTGTCTTTGATATTTTACTACATTCCATGTTGTAAAACTAAGATTCTCTTAGTAGATACAACACACTTGTGGGGTTGGAAAAAATGTATAATATTAACATTAATAGTAATCTTTCTTGTTACAGGATTTCTTTTCATTTCTTTGCCAAGAAATGCACTGTATAGGAACCACAGTTTCTCTCTTTGTAGTTTTAAGGAAGAAATTGTACTAAATTTTCTTATATATATGTTTTTTCACACTGAAGCTAAAAGTTCAATTGCCTGCCTCAAAAGCATGGACAACAAAAGCAAAAATAGACAAATGGGATTATGTCAAGCTAAAAAGCTTCTGCACTGCAAGGGAAACAGTCAACAGAGTGAAGAGACAACCTACAGAATGGGAGAAAATATTTGTAAACTATACATCTGATAAATAGTTAATACCTCAAAAACATCAGGAACTCCAACAACTCAATGGCAAGAAAGCAAGTAACTTGGTTGAAAAATGGGTGAAAGACCTGACATTTTTCAAAGAAAACATGCAAATGGCCAACAGGTCTATGAAAAAATGCTCAGCATCACTCATCATCAGAGAAATGCAAATTAAAACCACAGTAAGATAGTATCCCACTCCTGGTAGTATGGCTGTTTTCAAAAGACAGAAGATCAGTGTTGGTAAGGATGTGGAGAAAGGAAAACCCTTATACACTGTTAGTGGAAATATGAACTATTTATAGCCATTATGGAAAACACTATGGAGGTTCCTCAAAAAAAATTAAAAATAGAACCACCATATAATCCAGCAATCCCATTACTGAGTAAAGAAAATGAGATGTTTGCATACCCATGTTTATTGCAGTGCTATTTACAATAGCCAAGATAAGGAATCAACCTAAGCGTCTATCAAAATATGAATGAATAAAGAAAACGTGGTATATATGTACACAATGAAATTCTATTCAGCCTTAAAAAATAAGGAAATCCTGTCATTTTCTACAACATGGATGAACCTGGAGGACATTGTGTTAAGTGAAATAAACAAGACACAGGAAGACAAATACTGTGTAATTTCACTCATATATGGGAGCTGAAAAAGTTGATCTCATGGAAGTAGAGAGTAGAATGGTTACCAAAGGCTGGGATGTTTAATGGGGAGGGGAAGCCTGGGGAGATGTTGGTGAAAGTAAATAATTATTTAGGAGAAATACGTTCAAGGATCTATTGTACAGCATGGTGACCACAGTTAACGAGGATATATAGTATTCCTGAAAAATTCAAGGAGTGGATGTTAAGTGTTCTCATCACAACAATGATGGCTATGTGTGGTAATGCACTTGTTAGTAGAATTAACCATTCCACAGTGTATATCTACTTCAGAATATCGTGTTGTACATGATAAATACATACAGTTTTATCCATTAATTTAAAAAGTTTGGCCGGGCACAGTGGCTCACGCCTGTAATCCCAGCACTTTTGGAGGCCAATGTATGAGAATTGTTTGAGCCCAGGAGTTTGAGACCAGACTAAGCAACACAGTGAGACCCCGTCTCTACAAGAAATAAAAATTAGCCAGGTGTGGTGGCACATGCCTGTGGTCCCAGTTACTTGGGAGACTGAAGTGGGAGGATCACTTGAGCCCAGGAGTTGAAGGTTGCAGTAAACTGAGATCATAGCACTGCATTCCAGCCTTGGGTGACAGAGCAAGACCCTGTCTCAAAAAACAACAAAAACAAAAGTTCAGTTTCCTGGAAATGCATCATTTCCAATAGATATAACCATAGTTCTGAACAAAGCATGAACACCTGCCACATCTTTTATTGGTATTTGCCCAATTCAGCATTATCTTGGCTAGTATATTCATTGGCCCCAGAAAGCTACAATCTTCCAGGTATCCACATAGCTCAGTCTCTTACCACTCTCCTCTCTCATGTTCTCAAGGTAAGGCCTTCTGTGACTACTCTGTTTACAATTTAACAGCCACCCCCGCACACCCTTTGCTCTTGCTCTATTTTTTCTCCCTAGTTCTTATCGGCGTCTATCATAGGAAATGTTTTGTTTTTGTTGTTGATCGTGTCCCCCATCACTAAATTAGAAGCTCCAGAAAGGCAGTAATTTTTGCCTTGTTAATTTATAACCAGGCAGTACATTAATAACTTATAAATTATAATGAATACTTTTTTCATTTATTGCTACATTTTCACAGTGCCTGGCACATATTAGGTGCCAAATAAGTACTTGTTAGTTGACTGAATTAGTTACAGTAGGCCTGATGAATTATAGTGATTTGGCAGATGTTCAAGAAAACCAGGATGCACGAATTAATCCCCATCTGACCTCTGTTTGGCTTGTTCTAAATCTTTCTTCTCCTGCCTCCAGCCTACCTTTACTGAAAATACCCTTCTAAAACATTTTCTCCTCAATTCTCAGATTAAGCCAATCCCTGGCCGTATTTCCTCTTGCCCAGTAACTTCATCCAGGGATCCTTCCATTTCTACCCTCCCAAGACCACCTCCATACACCGGCCCCTCTCCCAGTAGGTAGGGTCCTGAGTTTTCAGGCAGCGTGTCTGGAGGAAGCATTAAGTGTAGAGGGGTAGGTGAAGGAGCCTGTGGGCCAGGAGGAGTGTGTCTAGGATACATACATGGGTGGCAGAGGGAAAGAGGAAGGTTGGGAGGGGGAAGGAGGAGGAGAGCTCAGGTGGGTCAGGGAAGGGGAAGCGGGTGAAACAGGTGATCATAAACAGGAAGCAGTACTAAGAAAAAGACAAGAGCTCTGATTGAGCCAATACCAGGAGGGGAGTGCTCCTTGCCCTGAACAGAAACTTTGGTGAAGGCTTCTCACAGATTTGGCCTCTGCCTGGGCTGGCCTGTGCCTAAAAGCGCAGGCATTATAGGTAGTCTTTGAAGGCTGACTGCTATTCCAGCCTTTATCTGTGGGTCCTTGAGATGTATGTAAACAACCTGAACCTCTGATTGGAGGGGCGGCTTTCAACAGTGTGGTATGTCAGTGCGAGGCAACTGGGTTCTACGGTGCGGATAACTGCTGTCTCCAGGTCTAGTATCATCTAAATAGTTTTGCTTCAAGCAGTCTCATTATTGCCATCACTTGTCAGAATATGTGTCCTCAATTTTTGGGTAAGGAAATATGATCAGACATTAATAGGCAGCTAAAAAGCACATTAAGTTTGTAGTTTTACTTTGTTTTATACTTTTATAAATAAAAGTACATATTATAAAGTATATATTATACTTTTAAGTTCTGGGGTACATGTGCAGAACATGCAGGTTTGTTTCATAGGTATACACATGCCATGGTGGTTTGCCGCACCAAGTTCTTAGCTTTCTTGATTTTGGTGAGGGTGGTTTTTTGTGTTTGTTTTTATTTTTTTAATTGAATATATTTGCCAAATACCAGAGCTCAGAATTTCTATCAAGTTTATCTTAACCCACAGCTTATGAGATAAAGTTGCTTTAATCTGTGTAGCATTGAGGCAGTCAAAGTCTAAGGAGTTCTTGTTTGCTTGCAGATATGATAGTCTCCTTTTTTCCCTTTTGATTGGTTTTTTTCCTGTTATTGAAAGCCTGTGTTTAGGGCTCTATTGAAAGGCATTTCGGTATATCTTGTTGCCTGTTTCTTCAGTTTTGTTGGAGGGAAAAAATTTAAGTCAGGCTTGTAGTTTAATAAAAGTAAACTTCTCACCTGATTATATCCTTTCCATAAACTGAGAATTTGAACTTGAGCTCTAGCCCAACCAAATAAAACTAAATCCCTCTCCTCACTCAACAGGCCTGTTAAGCACCCCATAGCTATGGGATCCTTTTCCTTTCCCTGATAATTTCTCTTTGTAAAAGAAAATGTTTAAAATGGAGTTGTGCCTCTCTGAGTGGGACCCCCCGCTTCCTCCTGGAGCCCCATCCCCTGCTGTGGGCCTTGATGCAGGCCTTGGGAGTGGGTGTTTTAGGGCAGCAGTAGCAGTAGCAGATGAAACTATTGCTGCCAGCAGAAAATAACCCATGGGTAGAAAGAAAAAAATTGTGTGTGTGAGCGATTATCACTTTTTTTCTGAGTGGGATATAGTCAGTGTCAGTATGACTGACCTAGAACCCAGGATCATGTTTGGGAAGTTGAAGAGAAAAATCATCTGGGAAGCAGAAGAAGATCCTTAATATAATCACGTAAAAATAATCTTAAAAAAAGGATTCTCTGGCTAGGCACAAATTTTGAAGTGTACAAGTAATAAAAATCGAAACAAAACATTTTCCTTTTAAGTAATTAATGGCAAATACTGGTTTTATACAGACTTTATGTTGTTCTCTTAGTTGAAACAGGCCCTACCTGTTCACTTTAACATAAAAATAGACTTACAGTTCTTAAACATAACTTATTCAGTAGCATACTTCATTGATACACCGTATTTGTGCAGAGTTGGATATAGAGTGAATTTCAAGAAATAAAACTCCAGTGATTTCTGTTATAGTCATAAATACATTTCCATAAGTAACCAAATGGAATCTAAATAAAAATAAATTACATATAAAAACAGACAAAATTGTATATTAAAGGGGGAAAGTTGTTATACAACTTGTGTTAAATATTATAAAATATAAAACATAAATCATTTGCTGAAAGGTAAAAATATACCAGAAATGGTATTTCTTTAGGAGATTTGCTGATTTTCTTCCATGATCTGTAGTCATTTTGTTATACTAAGATGTTGACTCAGTTTATCTTTATTCCTAGATAGTCTTTTAAAACCTTTATTTTGAACTTGGGATACTTTGCAGTTTTTTGTGTAGTAGCCCTGATTAAGGTTACCAGTCTTCAGTTTGATAAATACTGCCTTGCTGACTTTAGGTTATCCTTTAAAAGATAATTTCCATAACTTCATGAATGTTCACCATCACATTTTAACTTTCTTTTAAGCCAGAGTAGTTATAGAGGGTACTCTCTAACTAGTATGTCATAAAACAGGCCAGCTGTGGTGACCCCCAGCATTTAATTTGCTAACCTTTTGAGCACACTATTATGAGTTACTTGTCAGCTTCTTAGGTACTCTAGTATGTAATTCTAGGGGGGAAAATTGTGTGTGTGTGTGTGTGTGTGTGTGTGTGTATACATATATTTTTAATTTTTTGTAGAGATAGGGTCTCACTGTGTTGCTCAGGCTGGTCTTGAACTCTTGGACTCAAGTGATCCTCCTGCCTTGGCCTTCCAAAGTGCTTGGATTACAGTCATGAGCTACTATGCCCAGCTGGAGTTATCTTTTAAGTTTAAGAATTTCGCCGGATGCAGTGGCTCACACCTGTAATCCCAGCACTTTGGGAGGCCAAGGCAGGTGGATTACCTGAGGTCGGGAGTTCGAGACCAGCCTGACATGGAGAAACCCCATCTCTACTAGAAATACAAAATTAGCCGGGTGTGGTGGCGCATGCCTGTAATCCCAGCTACTGGAGAGGCTGAGGCAGGAGAATCGCTTGAACCTGGGAGGTGGAGGTTGCGGTGAGCCGAGATGCGCCATTGCACTCCAGCCTGGGCAATAAGAGTGAAACTCTGTCTCAAAAAAAAAAAAGAATTTCTACATGTTTTATTTAGATTTCCAGACATGCATATATGCAAGGCCCATGGAAATATAGATTGATTCATTTTCTAATTAAATGTTGAAAAAAATGAGATTCAAGTACTGTAAGTGAAAGAAAAAGCAAGATGCAAGACAGTGTCTATACTTTGTAACCATTTGAACAAAGAGAAGGAAAAGTGTGTATATTTGTGCTTCATTCTATATTAATTTAAAAAAATCTTTGGAATAAATTAGATGAGACTACTAAAAGTTGTTACCAGTTAGAGGGCAGGGTTGGGACCCAGGCAGATGGAGGATAATGGTAGAAGAAGGATTATGAATATATTTAGTTTTTTTTTATTTAAATGTATTTGCTGAAGTTTCAATATCGTGGCAATTTTAAACACCTTTATTGATGTATAAGTGACACAATAAACTGTACACGTTCATACTATGTATACATTTTTAGACTTTTTTTGAACCATATGAATATATTACCTATTTAAAAATCTAAAGAAAGTATTTCAACTTTAGCAGCTGGCTAAATAAATAGATAAATAGCAAAGCTGGTCTGCTCTGGATTTTGTTCTATGGACTTGAGCCTTTGTGGTTCATTGTAAAAATTTTTATTCCCCTTGACTTATAGAAATTCTGGGTAAGATTAGCTTGGTGATGTTGCAAGCAAAATATTCTCTTGTCATCTTTCAAATCTTACCTAATGCAAAGGATTTTGAAAACAAAACAGTAACTACAGAGAAATTTTTAAAATTAGACTCATAGCCAGTGATGGAGATTTAACCAAAATTCTCTAACTGTAAATGAAAGAGATTAAGGCCATTGTTACTTTACCCTCCATGATCCCTTGGCAGGGCTCTGCCTCTCACCTCACCCATTTAGCACTACAGAGAATTAGACCTTGGGCATGAAGTCCTACCAGGAGGACTCCAGCTGGCCTCAGTACAGCACTGAAAGAATGGAACTTCACCCTCACTTCACTTTTACCCCTATGCTTCACTTACATCCTCAGCTTAGAGTCACTTTGACCAGAGCCTTTCTTGGTCAGGGAAAGGGTCTTTTTATATCTGTAACTAAGCTCTGATTCTCTGGGCAAGAATGACATTCTCTGCTCTGTAGAACTGTTTGTTGTAACCTGTCTTTGGGTTTATGAGAATTGGCTGAGGGGAAGCAAAGATGAGAACTTTCTAATTCAACTTTTGCATGTTTGCTGACTTCTCCCTCCTTTTGTCCCTTGATCTGCTAACCCAGATAACTGCTTTGTCCCATCCGGATTTTATCTCTTTGAGAGGAGCCAATCAGACTCAGAGACCCAGTGCCATTGTTGGAATCAACTTGCTCTTGTTCTCGGATTTCCACTTTCTGTGCCACCTGGGTACCCTCATGGACAATTGGCATCATTCTTTCCCAGTCCAGTTCCATTATGGGAACAAGTACTTAGGGAAAACAGGGCAACCCAGTAGTAGAAGCCCTGGTTTGGGAATCAGACAATCTGAATACAGGACCTTACATTGCCGTGAACTCTGTCACTGAGCAGGCAGAACCTGATTGAGTGGTATGGCTTTGGTAGGCGCTTTGCAGAAGTTTATTAGTGGATTGACTAGGACAAATTCTCTCTTATAGTTCCTTCAGTTGAAAATAGAGATGACTTTTGTACTTCATTACCATAAAGCTATGCTAAAAATAATACATTAATGAAAGTTGTTTCTTGGAAAATAAGAAATGGAAATATAATGTATTAAATGGAGCTGGTTTGTAAAATATGGTGTGGTTGAGACAGTATCTCAGGTGCCTTCTAACTCCCTGTGTGTCAGCCTCTGTGAGAAAGGGCACAGTTTGGTTGCAGCTGTACTATAGGAGGATGGAATTACATCTGTTTTTATCTGTGAGTGATGTCTTTCAGATGCCAGATGCAAGCCAGCTTTGTTTGCCATTGGCATCTGTAGGGTATTTTTCCTCCTGTCTATGATGCATAGTTGCTTTTTTATTTACCAGCTTTCAATAAATTAGATAATTTTGTTCTCAGACCAAATTTGAAGAGATGAGGCCACTATAATGTCTCCATTTTGTAGGTGAAGAAACTGTGGTTTAGAGAGGTTATGTGATTTGTCCAAGGTTGCATAAGTAAATGGCAAAGCTACATCTCTTTATATCATGCTCCACCTTCTGTCTCCATGCTTTAGCTTCTAATTTGTAAGTACAAAATTAGGAAACATGATCTAAAGGTTTTTAAAGGCTCTGACATCCTGACCTGAAATCAGCTAATCAAATATTTATTTAGAATCTTAAACTGTTTTTGGAACAAGGAAGAATTTACCTACTATAATAATATATTGAGTATGTTATGTCCAAAGTACTGTAGAAGTAAGAAATATAATAAACTTTTGCAATCAAATATTTACCCTCTAGGCTGGGTGCGGTGGCTCATACCTGTAGTCCCAGCACTTTGGGAGGCTGAGACAGGTGGATTGCTTGAGCCCAGGAGTTTGAGACCAGCCTGGGCAACATGGCGAAACCCTGTCTCTACAAAAAGTACAAAAATTAGCTGGGTGTGGTGGTGCGCGCCTGTAGTCCCAGCAACTTGGGAGGCTGAGGCAGGAGAATCACTTGAGCCTGAGAGGCAGGGGTTGCAGTGAGCTGAGATTGTGCTACTGCACTGCAGCCTGGGTGACAGAGCAAGACCCTGTCTCAAAAAAAAAAAAAATTTACCCTCTAGAAGTTCAGTGCCAGAAGTAGACATGTAGTTTTATGTAGTAGAGGATTTCATATAAGCAGAGATGGACCAGGGGAGATAGGAATCCGAGAGTATTGAAGGTCAAGGTGAAGTCCAAGCAATAAGCGCAAAACTTCAACTAGTGTTAATTAGAAAGTGATTGATTAAAGGAGTTTGGCAAGAAAGGGAAGCACTGGGTTCAGCTTTAAGGGCTCTCTATGTCTGGGTTGCCAACTTAGAGTTCCAGGTTAAGGGGTGAGATTTTTTTAAGACTAGGAGTTAGTGATTCTCTGAAGAATGAAGCAGGAAAAAGTGAAGGATAAGCTTACAGGGCCTTAAGCAACTTGGTGGTAGGGAGATGGCCTCCGGAAGGAGACATGACAGGGCCATGGCTGTGAGCTTCAGCACTTCACAGGCCTAGCTCAGCAGCTGCTGTGACAAACATATCAGTTGTTTTTGTCCTTCCTCTTCCTTAAAAGATAGCTGAAATTTATAGAAACTCCAGTTTTCCTGCATCTTCTCTCCTCCGTGAGGGCAATTTTAAAAGGCTGCTGTTTGCGCCCTGGTACTCGCGTGAGCTCACATGTGCACACACATACACACATATACACCTACCCATTCATCGCAGGAATTCTCAAGCCATTTCAGAAAATATTTTTTTTTTTGTCCTGGTAACACAGGATTGCTAACTTTGTCCTCAGCTGCCATTCTTTGTGGGATTTCAATAAATAAGCAAATAAAATATAGGAAAACTATTTGGAATAATAATACTTCAAGCAGCTTTTTGTAGCCCTTTTAATTCAATACTACAGGTCATTTAGTTCTGAGCCCTAGGTGATTATAATTCATGATATGTCTTGTTTTGTTTTCTTTGAGTTTTTACATTTTGAGGTAAAATGGAATTATCACTAGCACATTTTTCTGAAGCCATACCAATTTGTCCTTTTTATTTGTTTGTTCAAATGAAGCAGTGCATCAAGTATGGAATTAGATTAATGGAGTAAATATTATGAATCATACACTCTCTCTAATCTGACACTCTTTCTTCTTTTTTTGACCTCACGTTTTGTTTTCTGTCTTTCTCTCTCCGCGTAGGCTTTCAGTCCAGTGTAAAGCTGTTGGAGCGCGGGAGCAAAGGTAAAGAATGATGTAATGCGCTGGCTGCTCCAAAGCATCTTTTGTTGTGGAATGGTTATTCCAGTCATCTCTTTATGAATCAAATGTGAGGGGCTGCTTTGTGGACGGAGTCCTTTGCAAGAGCACATCAACGGGAAAGAGAAAGAGACATTCACTTGGAGGGCTCTTGCTGAAAATGGGTTTAACTCTCCTTTTGCCAGTCACCACCAGCCTGACCTCATACACTTTTAGTACAATGGAGTGGCTGAGCCTTTGAGCACACCACCATTACATCATCGTGGCAAATTAAAGAAGGAGGTGGGAAAAGAGGACTTATTGTTGTCATGGCCCATGAGATGATTGGAACTCAAATTGTTACTGAGAGGTTGGTGGCTCTGCTGGAAAGTGGAACGGAAAAAGTGCTGCTAATTGATAGCCGGCCATTTGTGGAATACAATACATCCCACATTTTGGAAGCCATTAATATCAACTGCTCCAAGCTTATGAAGCGAAGGTTGCAACAGGACAAAGTGTTAATTACAGAGCTCATCCAGCATTCAGCGAAACATAAGGTAAACGCTTTCCTTTTTGCCTTTTCAAAATAAATGGACACACTGAATGAGGAATAATTTTAATTGAAGCCTCCTCTTTAAGTAGAGAAAGTAATTTGAGGAAGTTTTGGTTGCTTTTTAAATTTTGGTGCCTTGTGGTACCTCAAAATAATTTATTGTCCATATTGCCACATTTAATAATATTTCTAAACTATGAAGGATTAACTTGCTTTAGTTTGGACAAGTGCTATATTTTCTTGTGGCTTGCTAAAATGATTTTATTAAACACTATTCTATATTATCTGCAAATTTACTGAAAGGAAAGTCATTCTTTTCAAGTTCTTTGGAAAGAAAGTAGGAACTAATTATTAGGGGTGCTTTTTATGTGTCATAACACATGTGGTAACATTGGTCAAGACTTAATGATATCTTCAAGGGAAGTTATTCCTGGGATACTAAAATGTTGTCTGTGTGGTGAGGAAGTTGGTTTTTTTCTTCACAAATACAAATGAGCTCATGTTTTAATTTAAATAAACAACTGATTTCTTTGTTAAGGTGTAAAAGTCATTTTAAAAAAAGTTTGTTTAGGTCCAGGGTTATGTTTATTTTGCATATTGTTTGGTTTATTATGAACTTTACCATTTTATAGTATAAAGGATTTAAAACCAGGGAATCGTGAGATCACCTACACAGAAATAGCATCATTTTGGTTTTTAAGAGTTTTGTATGTGTCTGTCTCGTAAATTGACTACATCTCATTTTTATTCAAATTATTAATTGAAAACAGGAAGCAATTATTCGCCCCAGCACTGGTAAATGTGAGATCTTAAGCAGTAGTTTGAGATTACTTTTCTCACCTTCTTCCTAACAAGCCTCATGTTTGCATTTCAGGTTGACATTGATTGCAGTCAGAAGGTTGTAGTTTACGATCAAAGCTCCCAAGATGTTGCCTCTCTCTCTTCAGACTGTTTTCTCACTGTACTTCTGGGTAAACTGGAGAAGAGCTTCAACTCTGTTCACCTGCTTGCAGGTAAGGCTCGTGATGGAATTAAAAGGACTCAGAATCTTGCTGAGCTGTATGAGTAAGCATATTTCACTGTGAACTCAGTACAATAGATCATCCCAACTTTGCTGTGTAAAATGATTTATTTATAGCTTTTGATTGATGTCACCGTTCTATTTAACTTGAATACTATATCATTCTTCCACATAGGTCAGTGTATTTTTGACTTGGCTCAAGTGCCTCTTTGCTTGCTATTAACTGGTAGTGCCACATAGATTTGCACACCCATATGGATAGCTCAAAGCCAGCTGCTTCTGTCTGCCTTTTTCCATTCACCTGTGATGTAAGAACACCAAATGATGAACATCTCAGCTCCTGCTAGTTCCCACCCCTGTGGCAAGAACCAGACCAATATTACAGTGTCAAACTCTTACTTAACATTTATAGTTGGAGCGGACTCCAGAGATAAGCCTTATGGTCACCTTTCTGGGCATTATAAACAATGAAATAGGGGGAGAATGTGTGCAGAATGTTTCTTCTGGTAATTAGGGGAATTGTTTTAAAAGTTACTTGTATATTTTTATTTGTTTTATAATTAAAAAAAAGTCTCAACGTAGAAATGCTAAGCAACCAGATGATCTTATAAAGTGTGTGGGAAGGACCAAATATTCTATATCTCTCCTGGAGGACGGCATTGTAGGAGTTAATCCCATCAAATTCCAAAGAAGGCTATTCATCCTTTGCTTCTCGTTTTGCAAATGAAAATCCTTTCCCTTGCCCTGTGGGCTCATAGAGCTGGGAATATAGTTTGACAACACACAGTAACCTTAACATAAAGCTGCTGTGTTGGGCGGATTCAGCTTCAGTGATAGGCAAGAGTGCTTTTAAACATTTGGTCTAAGAAAAACAAAACATTAAGATTAATTAGTTGTTGGTGTGTTAATAATTTTAAACTCTGGGCAGGTTTAGATAAGATTTCCATGTCTCCAGTTCTCTCTCACAAGCTTTTCCTCAGTTCTCTAAGAACAAGGATAGTTCATCTTTTTCAGATTGTCTATCTGTACACCTTTCATTTATGCTGTGATTCCGTCTGATCTTTCAATTAGTGTTCTTAAGTGAAGCCAGCTTGTCTTAGAATGTAGTTTTCAGAAGTCTGTAACTGAGAATTATAATATTAGATTCTGTCTCTGTTGATAGACACATTCTTTTACTGGGAGTATGAGTGTGTTAAATGTAACAGCTATTATTAGCATTTCACTAAACTAATTGGGTGAGTTTAGGAACTCATTTCATGTTTCAGGTGGCCACTGTGTGAGGGACTTTACCTTGGAATCCTGTTAATGGGATCAGGGTTTTTCTTTTCTTTTTTTTTTTTTGAGACAGAATTTTGCCCTGTCGCCCAGGCTAGAGTGCGGTGGTGTGACCTTGGCTTGCTGCAACCTCTGCTTCCCAGGTTCAAGCGATTCTCCTGCCTCAGCCTCCCAAGTAGCTGGGATTCTGAGCACCTGCCACCACGCCTGGCTAATTTTTGTATTTTAGTAGAGACCGGGTTTCACCATGTTGGCCAGTCTGGTCTCGAACTTTGACCTCAGGTGATCTGCCTGCCTCGGCCTCCCAAAGTGCTGGGATTACAGGCATGAGCCACCACACCCAGCCAGAGTCTTTCTTAAAGAAGCAATATGCCAAGATGTGCTTCGTGACAGAGTGGTTATCCCACCATGTTCTTGTTTGAGTTACTTTTACCCTATGGGGAGACCTTACTCAACATCTCGGTCAAGTAGACAGCCCCCCAGAGGAGTGAGCTCACATTGAGTTTCTAGCACAGGTGCTTTAGCTACTTGTACCCTTTACTCCTTTACCAAAGAGCATTCCTTTGTTACCTGGGAAGGTTCTTAATCTATCCTGTGTAGCCTTGGGAGGGGCATTCACTGGGCAATAAGGAAGAAACAGGACTGCCTGATTAGCTATGTCAACTCTAGGGACACGTGGTGTGACACACTGAGTCAGAACACCCTGACATCCCTGTTTCAAACAGGAAGTGTTTCTTAGGCCTAACGGCAAGTCCATGGAGGCAGCACCAGGAGCCACATTAAATGTATTAGTAGCACCATATCTTCATCCATACCTCCAGAATCCTGTGTTTCTATTAGCTTAGGAGGTGACTTCAGAGTCTGAATTGCTTGTTTGGGAATTTCTGAGCAGCTGGATTTCTTGTGACACCTAAGAGAGGGTTCTAGATGATTAGAAGCCTTCCCAATCATCCAAAAGCAATTGGGGATTCTCTTGGTTAGTGAATTTTTTCGTCAGGGTAGGTAGATAATTGGGGTAAGTGGATAACAGTATTGGAGAAGGTTTGGCCATCAATTCTTGGGAAACTGTTTTATTGCAAAGGTCCAGCTGCTCAGAGGACAAGCCAGGGATGTGGGACAGAAGGACATATTGACAAAAGTTTCTTAAATATTTTGGTTGGGGAGAAATAACTGAAAAGCACCCTAGTTTCTCACAGGGGCTACTGTAAGTTACAAGGTCACTGGAGACAATTTTCACTACAAACTGCCCCTGTGACTTTCAACAGTTGGAGATTGTTGTCAGTCTCGTTTGGACATGGTAATAGAAAGACAAAGTGGTTTCTTGGAATAATTTTTCCATCGGTTTAGAACTTTCAGCCACCTTGAGAAAAGAAAGCATCAGATATGTGAGATGGTTTTTATGGTCATTAGCTATGGCAGTGAGGAATTGTGGCCCCACATCTACTCACACTCTCAGGGCTACCTTACCCACGGAAGAATGACTGTGAATAAGGAGAACAAGAGGACTCCCAAGAAATTGATAGCAGTATCTTAACGAGCTCTTTTCCTTCAAACAAGAGGAGACTGACACTTACCTGGAGGACCTACTTACATGGTCATGAAAAATGAAGGATTACTGAAGGAGAAGGAAGTGGGATTTGGGGAACCTCTACAGGAATGCAGTGGGCTTAGTTTTTTAATATGGACCAGGTCTTGTTTACCTTTGTGTTCCCGCAAGGCCTAGCCCTTCTTAAGTTTTCAGTAAATATTTTGATATTAGCTTACCTGAAGGTTTTATATTGTTTATATTTCCTATGATTTATCAGTCTAGAATATAAGCATATTAAGCAGTGATGAAGTCTGAAAGTAGAGAAAACTTCAGATTGTTTCAAAATAGGTGATTTGGAAGGTGTATTTATTCTGATAAAGCAAATATATAGCTGCGATGGGAAAATATCTAATATGAAACTTTCTTCATCCATATAAGCAGATGTGAAGATGGTATTAAAATCTGATGAAAATGCTGCTGTAGTGAAACAGTGCTAATTTTCTGTGGTCCTTAAATACTGATATTTGATAAAGAGCTAACAACCCTAGAAATCTAGCTCCACTCATAGGAATACGCAAGTCCTTGAATTCATGTTAATTGAGAACAGTCAGAATAATTATTGTATTTTTAAAAATGTAAATGTAAATTGATTGCTCTAGTCATTAGTAAATAACCTACTAACCAAGTCAAACTAAGCCATAGCATTGTTTCACTCCCAGTGGATTAAAGGGTTTAATATCAGTAGCAGCTGGGTGTGGTGGTGCACCCCTCTATTTCCAGCTACTCGGGAAGCTGATGGGGGAGGATTGCTTGAGCCCAGGAGTTCGAGGTTACAGTGAGCTGTGATTGCAACACTGCACTACAGTCTGGGTGACAGAGAGCCTGTCTCTAAAAAAACAAAACACAAAATTATCAGTAGCAATCTCATCTTAAAAAAAAAACAAATTTGGATGCTTTAGAAAGTTCTCCATTACTGCCCGGCCATGGTGACTTACACCTGTAATCCCAGAACTTTGGGAGGCCGAGGTGGGTGGATCACCTGAGGTCAGGAGTTCGAGACCAGCCTGGCCAACATGGCAAAACCCCATCTCTACTAAAAATATAAAAATTAGCCGGGCATGGTGGCATCTGCCTGTAGTCTCAGCTACTCAGGAGGCTGAGGCAGGAGAATTGCTTGAACCCGGGAGGCAGAGGTTGCAGTGAGCCAAGATCGCATCACTGCACCCTGGTGTAGGCAACAGAGTGAGACTCTGTCTCAAAAAGAAAAAAAAAGTTCTCTATTACCATTAATGGGTAGGTAATGGCAAACCATTGTTTCCTTTTTTTTTCAATTTTGAAGTCAGGTTATTGAATAAGTACAATTTAAAGACCTGCATATCTTCCCCACAACCCCCCTTGAAATTTAGACTTAAGAATTCATATTGGCCAGGTGCGGTGGCTCACACCTGTAATCCCAGCACTTTGGGAGGCCGAGGCGGGCGGATCACCTGAGGTTGGGAGTTCGTAACCAGCCTGACCAATGTGGAGAAACCCCGTCTCTACTAAAAAATACAAAATTAACCAGGTGTGGTGGCGCATGCCTGTAATCCTAGCTGCTCAGGAAGCTGAGGCAGGAGAATTGCTTGAATCCAGGAGGTAGAGGTTGCGGTGAGCCAAGATCGCACCATTGCACTTCAGCCTGGGCAACAAGAATGAAACTCCATCTCAAAAAAAAAAAAAAGCATATTAATAGAGTAAAAAAATGGGTGTAACATAAATGTATCATAATAATGATTTTATAATCTAGGATGGGCTTTTGGAAGGGAAAAATGCTGTAATTCCTATTTGGCTAAAAAAATTAACTGGGTTTCTCATAATTTGAAAAGAATCTAATTCTATTGAGAATATTTCAGGAAAGCTTATATAATTAAGTATATTAAATAATTAGAATTATAGGAAAATATTGGCAGAATAAACTATATATTTTTTCTTTTTAATAAAGTCCTTTGTGTCTGATAAACTATATTTTGAACTTGTAATGAGAAGTCATAAACGTAGAGAAGACCAACTTCCTGGGAGCAATAGGTAATCTGGGTATAGAAATTGTACAAGGTGCCAGGCATGGTGGCTTATGCCTGTATTCCCAACACTTCAGGAGGCTGAGGCAGGAGGATCACTTGAGCTCAGGAGTTTGAGACCTGCCTGGCCAACAGAGAGAGACCTCGTCTGTACTAGAAATTTAAAAAATTAGCCGGGTGCGGTGGTATCATACCTATAGTCCCAGCTACTTGGAAGGCTCACTTGATCCCAGGAGTTTTGAGGTTGCAGCGAGCCGTGATTGTGCCACTGAACTCCAGCCTGGGCGACAGAGCAAGACCCTGTCTCCAAAAGAAGAAAAAAGAAATTACACAAGGTAGAGCTAGAGAGAGGTAGTGCCATGCTCTATGCCATGTGCCGGGCCTGTTCTTGTTTTTTCTCCTGCAGATGTAAGATTTAAGATTGAGGGGAAGGGGAGAGATGGGGATTGGAGAATCCAAAAAAGGAACCATTTTCAAGGGTTGGTAATATCTTTCGTGTTACTGCTAAACTTTAGATATTGACTAAAGAAAAAGGATCAGAAAAGAGCAGGAGGAAGAAAAACTAGGTCCTAGTGGTAAAGGTATTACCTGAGCACAGGCTCTGTATCTGCATCTGCAGAAGGTTTCAGGGTCTTCTGATCAACTCAGTGCCATGCCCACACCCATTCCCTAGGTGATCTAACATCTGCATTGAGGAAATCCCTTTAAGCTGGAAAGAACAATGGACTAGGGGTCAAAGCTGTAGCCTGTGTTTTCTGTGTGTGTCTCTGCTCCTTATGGCAACTTTGGATAAGTCATTTAACCTGAATTATCTTGTATTTTTTCAGCTCCTAAAAAGAGATAATAACGCTTGCCTTATTATGAGGATTGTATTAGACAATGGATGTGAAATTTCTGTATCAATAGTCTAAAAGACTATCCTTCAAAAAAAAATAAGAAACTTATCAGTATGAGTTTGAAAACCCAAAAAATCAGTTGCCAACATTGATTTATTGAGCAACTTTTTTGGTGTTTTCAACAACCTGCAGAAAACTAGTTCTCTGAAAAATAAACTTGTTTCTTGGCTTTTACTTATTCACTATGTATCAGTTTATTCTACTTGTCTATTTCTAAGAGCGCCAGATTAGAAGTAAATATATGTGAAAAAAAGGAAAACTATTGAATTTGGGCTTTTATTTTATGCTGACATATGGAAAAGAGAGTAAATGGGTTAATTTAGTAGAAATAAAGATCAACCTGCATGTGAAAAATGCTGTTCTACTATGTCCTTCTCTTTCCCCAGTACAGCCTGAGTAAAAGCAAAAGGGCTCTGCCAGGCTTATTAATTCCACAGCACTCCCTTCTGTCCTGTGATGCAGCACAGAATAACCCTACAGCGATTGCGGGAGAAAACCATAAATGAACCACAGACTTCAGCCCTTTCATTTACAAATGAGGAAAATAACAGAGCTGCTGAGTGACTCTCCCAAGCTCTTGCTGCCCAAGGCCCACATCCACAAGTAATTCCAGAGTCTTCTGGAATTTTGTCAGGAGGCTAGATTGGGAATCAAGGGTGCCCATTTCAGATCAGGCTTATTCTGAAAGGCTCTTTTTGTAATAGCTCTTTCTCAGTCTTTTTGAGAATTTCAGTCATATTCTTCATACTTTATAGAATATAGCAATCTATAAAAATACACTGTATATAAATTGTTTTAAAGCATTAAACTATGTTAGCCAGAAGAGATCATCAAGTAAAAGTCTACTCTGTTTTATGCTGGTGTATAGCTGTGAATAAGGATAGAAGATACCATTTATTAAGAACACAGCAAAGGTCTTCGATTAATGTTTGCTATGGTTAAAGGCCAAATACTCATTTCTTCGTTTTGAGTTGAACTTAACTATTGTAGTTAGACCTACGAGTGAACAAAAATGTATTAGACTCTACACATTTTCAATTTAATAAGGATCTAGATTCTGATGACAGTTCTGTGTAATAAATGTATACTTTTGGTTTAATAGAATTGATTACTGTCCTTCCTCATGGAGGTATGATAGAACCTGATCTTCCTGGTTATGGATTTTGCTCTTTGTGCTATTACCATAAATTCTGTTATCTAGTTTGGTGTTTCTTCTCCTTTGTCTGGAGAAGGGAAATCTTCAGTAATTCCATTTCGAATCCTGTAGAACTTGGTAAATGAGATTGAAATTAATGGATTTCAGTAAAAGTATGCCAATTATTAAGGAACTGGCTGCTCTTGGGTCTAAAAAACTACAGTGACTGAGAGTCACTGAAAACAGACTAAAAATAGATGCTGTATGCACACATACACACACAATGGAATATTCAGCCTTAAAAAAGAAGGAAATCCTACCATTTTGCAACAATATGGGTGAACCTGGAGGACATTATGCTAATTGAAATAAGCCAGACACAGAAAGACAAATACTGCATGGTATCACATGTGGATCTAAAAGAGTCAAACTCATGAAAACAGTAGAACGGTGGTTACCAGGGGCTGGAGGGCTGGGGTAATGGGGAGATGCTGCTTAAAGAGTACAGACTTTCAGTGATATGATGAGTAAGTTCTAGAGACCTATTGTACAGCATGGTGACTACGGTTGACAATAAACGTACCATATACTTCAAATTTGCTGAAAGAGTAGATCTTAAGTGTTCTCACCACAACAAAAAGAGCATGGCTATGTGAGGTAAGGTAGTCATTCCAAGTGTATATGTATATCACATCATCATGCTGTACACCTTAAACAGATAAAATTTTTGTTTGTTAATCATACTTCAATAAAGCTGGGGAAAAAGGTGCTGTTTGCTCACTGGCTGCTGTGTATTTCTGGCTCTGTTTCTGAGTCTCAGTTGGCATGAATTCGTCTAAATTGGATCATCTTTTCTCCGATTGCTATCTGCCAGTGTGGAGAGTCAGTCATGTCTCTTCCCAGCTACCAGTGGCTAAGACACATGCTTGAGATTGTCTTTTGAAACAAACAGACTAGAGAGCCAACTAAAGCTTAAAGATAGTCCTTTGGTTCCCCATCCTGATATTGTGCACAAACCAAACAAAAGCATCCCAGATGACAACAGTGACATCAATCTTCCCTTGCCCCAGGTGGGGCAGCTGTGTAGTCTAGAGAAACACCAGGTCCAGCATATTCTTCAGCCCTTTCACTCACTCAGCCTCTCAATATTTGATGGGTGCCTCCATGGCTGTGCCTTGGACTGGGCTCTCGGGGGTGAAGATATTGGAAAAGCAAAAGGCTTGCCCCTGCCTTTGAGAATGTAGTGGTTAATTTGGGGAAATGCACCTAAAGTGGATGAAAGAAAGAGAAGTATATGATCATTTGCTAAAATGTATGATACAGTGATAAGGGATGATTCAGAGTAGTCTGCAGAAGTCAGGGAAGACTTGATTAGGGCAGTGGAATTTTAATCAAACCTTGAAAGATGAGGAGTAAGATTTGGGTAGGGAGGGTTCTGCGCATTCTGAGGGGGAAAGAACATGATTAAAAATGTCAGGAATGAACATAGATTTGGAGGGGCAGTGAGCAGACCAGAGTGGATTTTTTGTGAAGGAGAGAAATGGGAATTGAGAGGACATGAGATCAAATTATGTAAGCTCTTTAAATCAGAAGGAAGAATTTGTACTTTAAGGTGATGGGTATTGTGAGCTATTGGAGATATGGCTGCAATACCTGTCATCTCTTAGTCACCAGATCTTTCTTCCAACCTCTTCGGTCTGTCTGGTTTTCTGGTCTTCTGCTACCATGAAGTCAGTTGAATGTTATTCCTCCCCCAGGTTGCTCCAGGAGCCTCTTAACTGATCTGTTCACATGCTCTGTCTTGCCACCTTCCAATCCATTGCTCACACTGCAGCCAAAGTTACATTTTTATTTTGTGTTTTTAACTAATTCAGATTACATCACTTCCCAGTTTAATATGCATCAATAATATGCAGTGCTCTTAAGATAAGTTACAAAATTTTTAACTGATTCACAAGGCCCTGCAGTGGCTGGCTTCTGCCTACCTTGCTAACTTCATCCAGTGCCACTTTAAGTCCTCAGTTGTTGTTTTGCCTCAGCTCCTTAGGCCTCCTCCCTGTTGCTCTAAACCTAAGACATCATGCACCCTGGGCCTTCACAGAGGCTCTGTCCTCTGCCCTGGGCTCTTCTCTCTGCTATTTACCTAGTTGTTTTCCTGCTAGATTCAATGTGGTTGTCAAGCCTTCCCTAGCTACCAGGCAAAGTTGGTTTCCATATGCCTTTGGCCACTTACCATAATTAGTTAATTATTCATCTAATTATTTGGTTAAAGTTTATCCCATAAAACTGTCAACTCCAGAGAAGGCTCTCTGTCTTGGTCACCACTGTTCCATTACCTAGCGCTATGTCAAACTCATAGTAGGTGCTATTAAGTGTTTTTTGAACTTATATGTGAAACGCAGTTATCCCTTTCTCCCTCACTGCTCTATGACGTCTCTTGTCAAAATGTGTAGTTGGCCAAAGAGGAGGACTGTACACAGAGTGGAATATACAGAAGTGGTCTTAGGGGAGAGCCTGTGGCTAGATGGCTTAGAAAGCTTTGCGCTTCACATGGATAGCCTGAGAAGTGAGCTGTATAGTGTGATTCATGGACAGTTTACAAGTTAGTCAGATTTTATTCTTGAATAATTCTCCAGACACTAGACTTGTATTCCTTTTTCCTCTTGACTCATCAAGTTTCCCCTATGGATAATCTCATTTCATTATCCATTTTGATGATGATTATAGACATGTCCAGCAGCCACACCATCCTCATCTGGGGTATAATCATAGTTGGTGTCTCATTGGTTTCCTATGGGATGTGCCCTGATTCCCTGAGCCATGGAGATATATTACGGGACTCTCCACACCGGTGTGGAGTCCTGCGCCATTTAGGGGCATCAGAAAAAATTTTCTTTCCCTTTTATGTAAAGTCCTGTGGATACAGCAGAATCATAGTAAGGATTCAGTGTCGCTTTTGGATAACCAAAGTGACACTCGCCAATTTTATCTTTTTTCCTGTAGTAGAAGAAAAAATGTTTTTTTCTTGCCCTGTGCCTCCTCACTCACCCTGAGAGTCTTCTGGGGCATTGTGGTCTAGGAATAGGAAGCAGATTTTGTGCCCCCACCCACACCAACTAGCTTTTGGCTTTGAATGGAATCAGGAAATCCTTCGGAACACCAAAAATATACAAGACTTATGTCCATCAACAGCTATTCATTGTAACAAGGAAGGATTCAATAAACATTTATTGAATTCTAATTATGTGCCAGGCACTATGCTAAATGCTGAGGTAATTACAAAGAATTATGGATAATTCTTATCCATAAGCAGCTCACAATAGCTGGAGAAGTAAGACGGGTCACAACACATACACAGTTATTTCACAGTTACTAGGTCAGTGGTAGGTACTGCCAAATGATTGGTATAAATTTTATAGAGCCTCTAAGCTGGACCATGTCTAGATACGCTGCTCAAGGAAGTTTGTTTTTTTTTTTTCTTTAAACGCAACAGAATTAGGGAAGATAGTATCATGAAACTTTTGTCTTAGTGGTGAGTATGTGTAGGTGTTCAGAGGGTTTGAGTGTAAAATGTATTTTGTTGATCCTGGTAAAAAAATTTTGGGACCATACTGCTATAGAAGAGGTGTAACTTGTGCTTGCCTGTGGTTTAGAAGGAAATACAAAATGGATTGGAAAGGTTGACTTTTCAAAAGCCTAAAGGCGGGAAAGCACAGATGTGTTAGGAAAATAGTAGGGAGACTCTGTGACTCTGGCTCTCCTACCTACAGAGCTTGTTAATTCTGTTCAGCCAAGTGGTAGATTCTGGCTGTATTCCTTTTGATGGGTTATTCTGGTTGCAGTCTTTAGAACAATCTTTGTTTCAGGACGTTTAAGAGGAGTTTTTCTGGGCATAGTTATGTATTGCCAATTTAAAAGATCAGCAGAATAGTTACCAGTCTACATCTTCTGAGAACTCTTCCTTCTTGAATAACACATCTGGATGTTGCTGATGGAGTTGATTTAAATATTATCCTGAGTTATAAGATCTGGACATTCTGAGTCATAAGAAATTATAAGTTGCATAATTTTAGTGTTTAGTGATTTGTCTGCTGGTGCTTTGAAAATTTTTCATTCATTTGTTGTGTATGTCATAACTGTTGTGTATGTCATAACTGTTGCATATGTCCTAATACCAAAATTAGATAGAATTTCCCATTTCCCAACTGTGTCACGTGATAGGGTTGTTTAATATAGGGCAAGCTCTTTTGGAGGTGTCATTTATGGGATAAGTTTTGTGAGATGTAGGCTACTTGTCAGCCTTCCTGAAAGAGAAATGCGTATCTATCCACTCTCCTCTTGGTCTGTGCTCCAGTAGATGGGGGTGGATGGAATAAGAGCTTTAAATTAATGCTTTAGATCATTTGGGATTTTTCTCTTTAGTATGGCTCAATTGGAGAGTTGGCTATATGGGAAAAGGTGGAATGCTGCTAATGCTGTGGAAAAAATGCTATGCTCTCTACCTTCCTAGGAGTAATTTACCAAACCTGTGTGGCTTGGCTTATCCAGACCAAAGTATCTACATTGAAACATTAGTTACATATTTTGTTTGCTTTCTTTAGGGGTATGAAATTATGTTGCTTTTTTTTTTCTTTTCTTTTCTTCAACTAGTTTCAACTCTCCATGTTTACTGTCTGCTGATCCCGAAAGAATTGTGACCATACTTTAGTCTGTTTTTGAGTGTCTAGAGAATAAAGTTGCCTAAATCAGACATGTCAGACTGAGGCATAACAGAATTACTCTTAAGAGCAATTAAAGTACTTTACTGCAAAATAAACATTTTCAGTATTTTCCATTTTTAATGTTAGAGTTGTCTCCTTTGTGTGATGGTAAAGCAACAGATTTTCTTTCCAGTATGGAGAGAAGAGAGAACTGTCCTCTACAGGTGAAGGTGTACTCTAGTTTTTCACATATATTCTAAAATAAGCAAATGAAAGGATTGTGTTTATGTTACAAAAAGGGAGTTTTGTTTTACAAAAGAATTAAACTACTTGAGAACTACAAAAGAATTTAATGGCTGGGCACGGTGGCTCACGCCTGTAATCCCAGCGCTTTGGGAGGCCAAGGCGGGCTGATCACCTGAGGTTGGGAGTTCGAGACCAGCCTGACCAACATGGAGAAACCCCGTGTTTACTAACAATACAAAATTAGCCGGGCATGATGGCGCATGCCTGTGATCCCAGCTACTCGGGAGGCTGAGGCAGGAGAATTGCTTGAACCCGGGAGGTGGAGGTTGCGGTGAGCGGAGATCGCACCATTGCACTCCAGCCTGGGCAACAAGAGTGAAACTCCATCTCCAAAAAACAACAACAACAAGAATTTAACCGCATAGTTCAAAAACTGTGAAACCATATGAACTATATGCAGATGATTTAAAATACAAAAGTTAAATTTGCATATGACTTTTTAGGAAAATGTCTTCCATAAAGTAGAGCTTTATATCAATATTATTTCTTTGTATAACCATGGAATCCATTCACAATATAGGGTGGGAGGGCAGTTCTCTTTGATTCTGCCTTCCTTGAAGGCGGCTCTGCCAGTTGATAAATCCCTAGTGACTTGCTCCCTATTTAAATGAAGGCATGAGTGGAAAGGCCCTCTGTCTCTCCCTGCAGGAAACCATCTTTAAAGTCATGGAACTGCTAAAAGGAGAGGGATCTATTTTTAGAACTTTGGCCTTAAAAACATTTTAAGAATATCAGTAAGCCACAGTAAAGTGCTACTTTTGTTTATTATGTAAATATACTTTCATTTAAAGAAAATACTGTGATATATAACTGATTGCATGGGTGAGAGGGAAGAGAAAAGAGTGACTAATTGGAATTGTTTAGTAGAGTTGTTATATGTATTTTATTTTACTTGGCAGATTTTTCCCCCCCAAAATGGAATGGTGGTTCACGTTTGCTTTTACAGAAAATCATATTTATAATTGGAATTGTGAAGGAGGTGATCTTAAGGGAAGACGTTTTCATGGCTGAATTAGGAGAAGGTGTTATCTAAATGAGGAATGCCTTAGAAGCTGTACCAGATGTTTTCTGTGTCGGAAGTAGTATCTATGTTTTTATTTGTAAACATGCATTCTTTTGGTTGGATTTATGGAAGACTAACAGAAACATGGGTTTTAGCATTGCGGTCTGGCTGCCTGTGCATCCACAGCTGTAGAGGCCAAGACGCTTCTCTGCCTGCAGGGACTGCCCATCCCTGTTTCTCAGCAGGCTGGAAATAGCTGTGTATTTGTCTTCCTTCCTCTTAGCACAGATACTTCCAGAGTAGGGGGCACAGTCATTCTTAGGTTCAGGTCCATGTTAGGGAAACACATGTGGGTTACTATGACTTTGTTTTCTGCATTCCCAGATGATAAACAGCATAAAATTAGGAATAGGAGAAACTTGGCAAGATTGGACAGTGAGCCAAGTCTTCAGACAACTTTAAAAAATAGGCGCAAATTTTTTCAAGAAGCTTATCAGTTTTTCGGTACTGCTTTTCACAGTAAATAGCGGATAACGGACTGATGTTATGTCTTGTAATGGAATCTAGCTTGGAGTCCCTGGGACAACAAAGTTATGATAAGGGCAGATAAGAGGACGCTTGATTCTTTGTCTCCGTTAGCCATTTGGAGCAGAACGTTTGCATAAATGAACTTTTCTTCTGAAGTGGATCTTGTTTGTAAGAGAACTTACGAAAGGAAGAGGGACATTTTAAGCATGTTTCAAAACTGAGTTGCTGGTGAGGCCACAGTTAGTTTTTAGAGGTCCAAGGGAAATCAGGCAGTGTCTCATCTGTTGTTAATTAATGAAACGAAACTGGAGTCACTAGAGTGCAGCAGTGAATGAAAGGTCAGTGAATGGAAAAAACTGTCAATGAAGGAGGATGTCAGCAGAGTGGAACATTGTCATAGATAAAGATCAGTGAAAATGTGCTCTGGCTGAGGTAGGGTTTTCTGGAAGTGACTGGGAGCCAGTCTGGGACATTTCAAGCCAAACTGAGCACTAAATGAATGTTCTGATTGCAGCTAAATCTGTTAAATATTTTTAAATATTTGTTTGAGTTTGTTCTAGATATCAGTTGAGAAAGATTTGTGAAAAAGAGGCTTCTTTTTGTTTTATAATGTGTTTTACAGTGTAGTGTTGTTTTGTTTGGCTCTTTTGTTTTGAAGCTGAACAATGGTTTCTTTCTCTCCTTTCTGTTCTCTGTCTTAGAACTTTCTAGAGCCACACTTACTTTTGAGGTCCACTGAAATCAAAGTGATCTAGGATCACTGTACCAATTAACGATAGAACTGGACCTCGAACAGCCTGGCTGATGGCTCAGTTTATGATTATTGCAGAATTGCATCTCCTCTGAAAGTTGTTCTGTGGGGGGTGACCTGACAGCCAAGGTCTACTACCAACTTGTAAATGGTGGTCATGAACAAACCAGTGACCATATTTACATTTCAACCAGTTCATCTGTAAACTTTGTTATTGGTGTCATGTGAAATTGCCTTTAAAGAGATTCTCCTTTCTCTGTTCTTGTCGGATCTTCTTCCTTCTCCCTCATTGAAGCCTTTGAGCGATATAGCTTTGGGGAAACAAGGCTCTTCCATCAGTTTGGGAGAGGACCATGGCCTTTTTAGCCTGGTCACAGCTGGGGAGGCCAGGACCCCATGAATATCATCAGCAAGGCTGTCCCTGCATCCAAGGGAGAGTTGAAAGTAATTCCATAGGATTTAGAAAAGTAGACTTATAACCTGGCTCTTCCGGTTATTATATTACGTGATTCTGAGCCTATATTATGTGATTCTGAGCCTTATCTATAAATGGGATTAGTAGTAACACCTATCTCATAGGGCAGCTGTAAGAGTGTGTAAATACCTATAGAGTGCTTAGAGCAATGTTTGTCACGCAGTAAGTGTTCAGTACATTCTAGGATTACATACATTATTTATAAAAATAATCATTTATAAGGTTCAAATGAAATTCAAGTGGTGTTTCCTTGGATTCTCTGTTTTCTCTTTGAGAACATTTATTGGAATATTGTTTTGTTGGATGTATGTATGTATTTTTTTGAGACAGGGTCTCACTTTGTCACCCAGGCTGGAGTGCAGTGGTGCGATCACAGCTCACTGCATCATCAACCTCCTGGGCTCAAACAGTCCTCCCACCTCAGCCTCTCAAGTAGCTGGAACTACAGGAATACTCCACCATGCCTGGCTAATTTTTTCTTTCTTTCTTTTTTTTTTTTTTTTTTTTTAACAGAG
Organism: Homo sapiens; assembly: GCF_000001405.40. Lineage (NCBI taxonomy): Eukaryota > Metazoa > Chordata > Mammalia > Primates > Hominidae > Homo > Homo sapiens. The sequence goes on along the minus strand of NW_011332696.1, from coordinate 473,687 downwards.
ATTGGGTTTATCCATGTTGCCCAAGCTGTTTTGTTGAATTTAAATGACAACCATTCCAGGAACTGTTTTAGAGCCAGAATTGAAAAATATATGAAGACAGTTCTTTAGAGAAACACCAGAACTGGCAGGGCGCAGTGGCTCATGCCTGTAAACCCAGCACTGTGGGAGGCCAAGGTGGGTAGATCACTTGTGCCTAGGAGTTTGAGACCAGCCTGGGCAACATAGGAAGGACCCTGTCTCTACAAAAATACAAAAATTAGCTGGGCGTGGTGGTGTTCCCCTGTAGCCCTGGCTACTCGGGAAGCTGAGGTGGGAGGATCACTTGAGCCTGGGAGGCAGAGGTTGCAGTGAGCTGAGATCATGCCACTCCAGCCTAGGCAACAGAGTGAGACCCTGTCTTTAAGAAAAAAAAGAGAAACACCAAAACTACATGTTAATAGACACCACATTAAAATTTAACATCATACAATTTAATTGTAATTAAAATAGTGCCTGACAGTTGTTAGGTTGGGTAGGTGTAAGAAAAGCAAAGAATGATGAGAATCTTTAACATTTATTGTTACAAGAACTACCTTGGGGAAAAAACTCACTTAAATAATGACTGTGTTATTCAATTAGAGAGACTGAAAAGGAACAAAACACGAATAGAAACAAAAGCATAAATTCTAAACAGTGGGCACTTATATACCAATATTGGCTGACCCCCTTTTTTTGAGATTGTCTGTGGGTTGTACTTGTAAGTACAGGAGTTCTGATTGACTCCATTTCAGTAGTTGCTTTGACCCTAGCGTAGCATTTTGTAAGTGTGAATTCTACTAGCTATTAATATATTTTAGGGGGAATTCCATGGTCAGATAAGTTTGGGGAAACTTACTAGACTTCAATAAATGAAACCAGTTTCTTTGAAAATACTTTTTAGAACCTTTAGTAAGTTAACATGTGCTCTGACTCTGCCAGGGAGCTAGGATATACAATATTTCTCTCACTTTTTAGACCGCTATCCTGTCTGTCAGCTTCTTGCAGGACGCCAGTGCTCTGGGGCACACTTTGGGAAGTTAACCTTACAGGCATTCCTTTTTCCACTTTTTGTCTCAGATGAATACTAAGGAGGTGTAGCTAAACAGCCGCAGCTCAAAGGTGGAGGAAGGCCCCACAGATGGCGCTAGATACTGAATGTTTGATCACCGTAACAAAAAAACGGGGAGGCCGAGGTGGGCAGATCACCTGAGGTCAGGAGTTCATGACCAGCCTGGCCAACTTGATGAAACCCTGTCTCTACTAAAAATAAAAAATTAGCCAAATGTGGTGGCATGCGCCTGTAGTCCCAGCTACTCGGGAGGCTGAGGCAGGAGAATCGCTTGAACCCGGGAAGCGGAGGTTGCAGTGAGCCAAGATCGCGCCACTGCACTCTAGCCTGGGCGACAGAGTGAGACTCTGTCTCAAAAAAAAAAAAAAAAAAAGCAATAACCAGTGATACCTCCTGAGTGCTTTACTATACGCCAGGCACAAAATACTTTTGATATACTAACTAATTATCTCAACAACTCTGTGAGATAGGTGTGATCATTATCCTCATTTTATAGATGAGGAAATTAGAGTAGGAGGGGCTTAAGTAACTTGACAAATCAGACAACTAGAAAGTGGTAAAGCCAGGACAGGAACTCAGGTACAAGGGCTTGTGTTCTTACTTCCTCTGCTGTATGATCATGGGGCTTGCCCACATGTGTATGCTGTATGTACCGTGGCTTCTACGTGTGCATGCATGGGGCGGTGTGAGGGTGGTATTCTTGGACAAGAGAACGGCATGGAAATGTGAAATAACAATGAGTTTTATGTGGCTGGAGGTCATCATTGGAAACGGTAAGAAATGAAACTGGAGGCCAAGGCAGGTGGATCACCTGAGGTCAGGAGTTCCAGATCAGCCTGACCAACATGGAGAAACCCCGTCTCTACTAAAAATACAAAATTAGCCGAGGGTGGTGGTGCATACCTGTAGTCCCAGCTACTCAGGAAGCTGAGGCAGGAGAATCTCTTGAACTCGGGAGGCGGAGATTGCAGTGAGCTGAGATCATGCCATCGCACTCTAGCCTGGGCAACAAGAGCAAAACTTCGTCTCAAAAAAAAAAAAAAAAAATGAAACCATGAAACTGTAAGGTGCAGGTATCCTGAGGGCCTGTGACACAAAGGAATTTGTGATTTCTATAATGGATCCATGTATTCTGCCTATCAGATTACCTTAAGAACTTCAGTAAGTGGAAGAGCTTTAACTGCTTCTGTGTTAAAAAATATATAGAAAGACACTTGGTCAGGTTGGAGGCCAGGCCACTCTTTTTACATTCTGCAGGTGGCATAGTTGTCAACTGCCTACCATTCTAACTTGTTGCATTGAGGACCCTGCACTGAGCCTAGACAGTAGAGACAGGCGTCTGGCTGAATTATGCTTGAATTAAACATAATACAGGGCATAATGAAAGATGATTCCCTCTCAACTTCCTGCACTTCTAGCAGTTTTCAAGGGCATATTTTGTGTGTTTCTTGAAGTGGGAGAAAGTCTAATACAATATAACTCAAAGAGATGAAGATAAATACTTGAGTCAGATTTCAGGATCTTGTTCAAGGCTCAGTTAAAAAGGTACTATCTTCTAATAAGACTTAACATGTTATTTGTTGTTTTTTTATTTTTATTTTTGTTTTTGAGACGGAGTGTTGCTCTGTTGCCCAGGCTGGAGTGCAGTGGCGCAATCTCGGCTCACTGCAACCTCCGCCTTCTAGGTTCAAGCGATTCTCCTGCCTCAGCCTCCTGAGTAGCTGGGATTACAGGCACCCACCACCATGCCTGGCTAATTTTTGTATTTTTAGTAGAGACGGTTTCACCATGTTAGCCAGGCTGGTCTCGAACCCCTGACCTCAGGCAATCCGCCTGCCTCGGCCTCCCAAAGTGCGGGGATTACAGGCGTGAGCCACCGAGCCCTGCCTTGTTTTTAAATTTAATGTTAAAAATATACGAGGATCCCGTCATCCAAATCTCCTTGATTCGGACTTAGTGAATAGCGAGGGTTTGAATAGCAAGGCGTATATCTGAAAATTTATCAGAATCTGTTTGGTGTTTGGGTTTGGACAGCAAGGAATATTTAGATTGGAAAGCAAATAACCTTACTCATTTTTTCTTTTCCCGGAGGGAGTGAAAGCACCTCCTTTGGCTACATAGATTTCACTCCATTGAGTGGTGGCAAGACTGTGACTTAGTGAAGGTCATAGAGCAGATCATTGTAAGGACAGGACTAGAAAAAACTGAATTCTTCTAATTCTGAGTTCAGTAATCTTGCCACAAAGCCTTCCTGCACCCTAAGCAATTAGTCTGTCAGCACTTCTTTATAGTGCTTGCTGAGATGAACGGGAGCTCTCCAGACATCAGTGGTAATTATGGAGACCTTGACTAACTGCCCAGGGAATCCCCAGAACTTGATAGAATATTCGTAGGTGGGAGTATGTTTGTGATACCTTTGCAGTAAAAAATTTGTATGGTAAGAAGATTTAAAGTTAGTTGTAGAAAGAATTTTTGACTCGATCAATTTTATTTTGAAGAAGTTGCATTCAGCCTCAGTTTTCATTTCTTACATCCCCATTCTGCTTCTGTGAATTATTGGCTTGGTTACTTGCTACTAACTTTAAATCCTCTTTATGTTTTACAAAAAAAAACATTTGCATGGGGAGTGGGGAGCAAATGTTGTAGGGTATGTGAAGATGAAGAGAATATCTGAGAGAGAGGAGTCATTCATTATAAGTGCCTTCAGGACTTGCCTATCCCCATGGTAGCGTTATAGGCCAGGCCTAGTGCTGGATTATGCTTCAGTCTTAGCATCAGCAGCTGTAGCCAGGAATAGGTGTGCAGTGATATCCACTTGGATTCGTGGGTTTAAACTGTTTGAGCAGTTCACAGAAAGCTGGTTTTTATTTTGTGCGTGGCATAATTTTTTATAATTTTATAATGTTTATTCTTAGGTGGGTTTGCTGAGTTCTCTCGTTGTTTCCCTGGCCTCTGTGAAGGAAAATCCACTCTAGTCCCTACCTGCATTTCTCAGCCTTGCTTACCTGTTGCCAACATTGGGCCAACCCGAATTCTTCCCAATCTTTATCTTGGCTGCCAGCGAGATGTCCTCAACAAGGTGGGTGCTTTGAAAATATCCTTCATTGCTGGGTTTATATTGTTAGCTGGAGAAACAGCAGTTACCCATTATGTCATTTGAAACACACCCCAATCTCAGGAGCTGCTATGCCATTCTCAGTGTGCTCCCCAGGTAACAGTTGCGTCATCTCTTGGAGTGTTAATTTGTTTGATGTTACTTTTTACTGCAGGAAACCTAAATTATTGTCATGTCTACTTGTTCTTAATAGGTCCAAGAGAACTGAAATAGGACAGGATTTTTCAGAAGTTTAGCCTTATATTCTTAGGGTATTAATTGATCTATTATAATTGGGCACTCTCAGGCTGTTAGTTCCTGGATTATCACACATTTAGAAATATATTTATTTATTGCAACATACTAGAAAGGGATGCAGGTTGGGCTTGGATTGAGGAAGGTCCTCATGATGACTGCTGGCTGGGGGTGGGGAAAGGTGTTAAAAAGATGGTGAGGACAAAGGCTGAAACTATGCACTGCCAGCCTCCCTGGGTTAAAGCTCTTTGGAGGAGTTTGGTTGAGAAGGAAGAGGGAAGAGCATGGATTATTGATGAAAAAGACACGGGCCCTACTGGACAAAGCGTGCCCTAATGGAGGAACACATTGGATTGAGTGAGGCCTTTGTATATGATGGTACAAGCAGAACAGCAATAGAACTATAATCTGACTCCACAGCTTGTATGCTCTTAATTAGTAATGCTGCAAAATAGTGCTCTTACTGCGTGGAAAAGTGATTTTTCTCTAAAATCTCTTAATTTACATCACCACAAATTGAAAAAGCAGTCAGAGATCTTAATTCAACTATTGGTGATTTACAAGTGCTATTTTCCTATGCAAAGGGAAGAACCCCTTAACACGTTCTCCTTGAGTAACTAGAAGAATTGGGCTGATTGTAAAAATAAGCTTCCAGACTGGCTTTCTTTAGCACCTGGAAGGCAAGGCTTTCTAGGAGGAAGAAAAATACCCGATCATCGGGTCATTGGGTAGCAATAAGGCATTCTTTTGTGAGTGTGTGTATGTTTAAAACTCCTGCCTTTTCAAAATTTTGCCTCAACACTGTGTTGTTAATATGTCTGCTTTTACTGTGAGATCTGCCGATTTGAGATTTAATAGCTTATGCTTGTACCGAGCCTTTCTGGTGGGGTCACAATGCCTTTGAGTGTGCAGTTATTATTAATTCTTTTTAGAGATAAGCAGGCTATGTTACAGAAAGCAAAATTAATTTCTTAAAGTCCCATGCATTCCTAGGGCAAAGCTGGAGCTGGTTTATTTAATCTTCAGATCAGAAAATAAAATAAAATTCCTAGTTAAGAATCCTGTTTAATCCTGGTAAACCTTAACCAGCCATCAGCAGGTCATTCCACAAGTAATTGTGTTACAGATAGTTTTTGTTACTTTTGACACTCAGTTAAATGACACATTCATTTTGCTGTATACCTTTTTCAGATTTAATAAATATGTTGGTTAAAAAAGGTGACAGCAGTTAAACCAGAATTTGGAGTTGAGGATGGGAAAAATAGTAGTTTTCTTTTTTTAACTCTGGCTTCTAAACATATACAGCACTAAGCAGGATACATAGGTAGATGTATCGAGAGGAAATATTTGCAGTGGGGAGAATGGGTTTGTGGAAGTTTATAGGACAACACCTTGGGCAAGGAGTTATTATAGAAGGCTTGTCAGGAAGCACCCCTAAAATAGATGTATAGACTTTTATTTTTATTCTGCAAGGATGGTGAGAAATAAGAATAAACTATTAAGCTGGATAGCTTTGAAAGCAGTGAATATAAATTTATATTTGTGGCTCACACACTTTGGAATCCTAGCACCTTGGAAGGGTCAGGTGGGCAGATCATTTGAGCTCAGGAGTTTGAGAACAGCCAGGACAACGTGGCAAAACCCCGTCTCTACAAAAATTACAAAAATTAGCCGGGCTTTGTGGCCCTAGCCTGTAGTTCCAGCTACTTGGGAGGCTGAGGTGGGAGGATTGCTTGAGCTTGGGAGGCAGAGGCTGCACTGAGCCCAGATTGTGCCAGTGTACTCTAGCCTGGGTGACAGAGCAAAGCCCTATCTCAAAAAATAAATAAATAAATAAATAAATAAATAATAAAAAATAAAATAAAGAAATGCATGTTTGACCTCTAGGTTCGTTGTTGACAAAAACCTTAGCGTTGAAGGAGATTTCAGAGATCATTTAGTCAGCCACCAGCATTTGATAAGTGAGGAAATCAGTATTCCAAAAATGTTACATGAATTCCCCAACATTATCCAGTTGAGTTTTAGAACTAGATTTGCCTCTTTTTTACAAATAGTATTAACTAACCTATCATCCTGCTGAACTTCGTGATTTATACTTTCCAAGAGAAATAATATGCTTCTTTTTTTCCTAAAGATCTCCAAAAATGAAAATTTTATAATCTTCCCTAACAGTACAGTTCTTTTTATTAAAATTCAGAAGTTGAAGTCTTTACAAACAGTAACCATGAGACCACTAATATTATTAGTGTTTTGTTTTGTTTTGTTTTGTTTTGTTTCTTTGAGATGGAGTCTTGCCCTGTCACCAGGCTGGAGTGCAGTGGCATGATCTCGGCTCACTGCAACCTCCCCCTCCCGTGTTCAAGCAATTCTCCTGCCTCAGCCTCCCGAGTAGCTGAGACTACAGGCACGCACCACCATGCCTGACTAATTTTTGTATTTTTAATATAGACGGGGTTTCACCATGTTTGCCAGGATGGTCTCGATCTCCTGACCTCGTGATCCGCCCGCCTCAGCCTCCCAAAGTGCTGGGATTACAGGCGTGAGCCACCGTGCCTGGCCTATTAGTCTTTTTTTTTTTTTTAAATGAAGTGCCACCAAAATATGTTAGAAGCATGTCACAGAAATTTTCTTGGGAGAATCATAATGTTTCCCATTTAAAATGCTGGGCTTTTTATATTATTGCATTTAACCCTCATAATAGGATTAGGAGATACATTTGCCCTGAGCTAAGTCACTTACCCGAGATTATGTCATGGACTTCAGAGCTAGTCAGTGGCACAGATCAAATGTAAACCGAGGCTGCTGTAATTTTAAGTCCCATGCTTATATTACACCAAAAATGCCCATCTTCTGGAAAAAGGAATTCTCTATAGCAGGCTGTTACGAAGGACTGAAATCTTAAGTCTATTGAGTCACAATGGAGAATTTCTTTCCCTGTTTTTTCTGCAACATCATCTATACCAGTACCGTCCAACAGAAATATAATGCAAGTCACATACATAATTTAAATTTTTCCAGTGGCCTTTAAAAGTAAAGAAATGGGCAAAACTAATTTTAATGTTTAAAAATAACATATTTAACCTAGTATATCTAAAATAGTATTTCAACATGCAATCAGTATACAAAATTACTGAGATATTTTACAGTCTCTTTTTGTACTGAGTCTTTAAAATCTGGTGTGTATTTTATACTTACAGCACATCTCAATTTGGAGTAGTCACATTTTAGGTGCTCAGTAGCCATGTGTGGCTTGTGGCTGCTACCTTATTGGACAGTCTAGGTCTCAGCATGTATTAATTTTTACTGATGTTTTAAAGACATGGTTCTTTTGTAGAAGACCATAAGAGGTCATCGGTACCAAAAACATACTTTTATTTTCCTTTTCCCTCACAACTGTACTTTGTTTCTCAGAGTGTGTTCTTTCATCCTCTAGTCTTTGTACTAGAGCTGAAATGGGAGCAGCTTATTGTACTAAATAAAAGTCATCTGCTGATGCCTAGTTCATATTTGAAATGAGTGGGATTTGAGAAAGAATCTCTGGTTACTCTGTGAAAGACAAAAGTTCTTGATTGCTTTTCTCTCTTATCAGTTACAATTTCAAATGCAGACTTTTGTTCACATTTAAATATATGCAGCATATGACTGACTTACCTATTGGGAGTAGTTATTAAGCAGAACTGTATCTGAGGTGAACCACTGCAGCTTCTTTTCTAAAGGAGCTCTGCTGCCTGCTCCTTCTCCATTTAAATAATCTGCTGTCAACATTTTTTGTATAGCTTCTTATTTCAGCCTCTTAACATGCAAAATTGGTTTTCCTAGGCTTTCTTATTGTTCTGCCTGGTACACAGTAGGAAGACTGACTGCTACATTCTCTGTTGTTTTCTTAGAAGAGTTAGGCAACAAATAGCCTAAACACAATATAGGCTAAGAATGCTTTCAGAGTTTCCAGTGGAAATATATGATCTAGGAACACAAAAGCGTGTCAAAATTATCAATAAAATATTTCTTCAATGTCTATGATGTCACTCTATGTAGAACACCATACAGTGTTCAAGTTGGTTAGACAAGACCTATTCATTAAACAACAATTGACATGACAAGGTGACTACAGTGTCCCTCCCAGTGTGGAAGCAGCACGGCATGATGGTTGAGAGCCAGCTTTAGGGGTGGACAGTTTTGCATCCCAGTTCTCCACCTTACCAGCCATATCACTTCAGCTGTTACTGCATCTCAGTCTCTTTACCTACACGCCACAATAACTCCGGCCTCCTGGTGTTCATGTAACATTCAAATGAAATGGCATATGCCAAGCACAGTTCCTGGTTTATAGGGACACTTGTCATTGTCATCTTAGGGTAGACTATGCAGCCTACTAGGGTGAGTAGTAGATACAGTGTGTTTTGTCGTTTGAGGAAGGCTTGATGGAGTTAAGTAGGACTTGAGGCCAGTTTTGAAGGCAAATGGATGGGCAAATGCAAAATTAGTCATGGAATTGACTTCAGAAAGAAAAATTACAATTCTTTTATCTAGAATTGAAATGCCTGTGGTTATTTAATGAGATCTCTGTCCTCAGCCTCACTGAACAGAGAGAATTTGACCAAACAGAGCAGTTTCATTAAGGCCATATATTAATCTGTTCTCTCTGTACTACTTCACAGTCTGCATCAAAGGATCATAGAACTCATATTTAGAAATTAGTCTGACTGCAGGAGAAAGCTTATTTCAGGGTTAGGAGAGAGAAAGTTTTCAAGGGAGAAAAGTTGTGAATGGAAATCATAATAATAAAATGAAATTTGTCTTGGTTTACAGATAATCATTTTTGAAAGTTTACTCAACTGTGTGTTGAAACTAGAATCACTATTTAAATCCTTAGGGGGAGTATGTCTTCACTTTGCAGATGAACCTCGCCTGCTGTATTCAATGTAATTTCCCTACTTAACACCAATTAGGAGAAAAGACAGTTTGGATTAGTGAAAAATATACATCATGGGCTTTTTTTTTTTTTTTTTTTTGTAATGGCTTTACTGAGATATAATTCATATACCATACAATTTACAAGCAATTTTTACAACAAGATAAAATAAGAGAACTAACATTTCAGGGGACCCTATATTATGTGTCAGGCACTTTATTATCCTCATACTGGCTTTACAAAATACACATCATTAGCCTTATTTTACAGGTGAGGAAATTAAAGCTACCGGAGGTTAGGTAACCTTCCCAAGATCACCCAGGCGATGAGTGGTAATGCGCTGGGCTGTGCTCTGGTTTTTCTGGGGCCGTTACCCATGTACTTTACTTTATTCCGTGCCACACTGAGATTCCACACTAACCACTAATGAATTGTTTCCAAGAAGAGATCCTTTAGGAGTTTGCTTTAATAAATCGATCAGTCTTCTCAGTATGGCATTTGATAAAGTTCTGTAGCTTGGCAGTAAAACTCTTTAGCTTGATATTTAAGACCTTCCAGGACCTAATACCACCTTTTTAGTTCTTACCTCTCCTGTTCTCTTCCTCTGCTCATCCTCTTTCAATGTCTGGACACACTCACCTAGTGAGTGCACCCCAGATATTTCTGTCCTGTCCTTGGTCTTCATTCATTTTCTATACTCCATCTGGAATGCCTCTACCGCCATCTGAGCTTCAGCTGACAATTTTAGTTCCCATTATAAATAGTCTTCTCAGAATCCTTCCCTTTGGTTTTACTCCTGTTTTCCACTGCCATTTTGTTTATCCTGCTACATTATATTCATCGGATACCTCTTTGTATCATCATTATTCGTGCAACTGTCTTACAGTTGCTAGTAGACTATTCATCCCTCAGTGAGAACACTTGCTTTTTTATGCCCCAGAATACCTTGATGCATAGTAAGCCCTTGGTGATTATTTTTCAAAATAAATAGTTATATCCTAATTTGTAACCCATGCAACTTGTATGAAATGTACATGTCCTTAAACATTAAGTAAACACACCTTCTGTTAATTTACTCAGAAAACCTTCTGTTAATGAATTTGAGAATCTAAAATTTTCAACCCAGGAAAAACAGTCTTTTTTAAATTATGAAATGAATGTAAGTTAATGATATTTTACAGTGACTTGTAAAATGAAAATGTGCAAGGAACATATATGAAGGTTTCTCATTAGAAGATGCTAATAAACCAGTTACTAGATACTGATTTTAGTCAGCTTCAGGGATAAGGGTTCGTTCATGTATTCGCCCAACAAATGTTTATTGAGCCTCTACCATGTGCCAAACAGTGTTCTAGGTGCTGGGGGTACACCAGGAAATGAGACAATAATCTCTGCTTTCATTAGCTTACATCCTAGGAGAAAGAAACTTGATAGGAAGCATAATAAATAGGTAAATTACATAGTATAGTACAGTATGAGTGCTATGAAGAAAACAGGGTAAGAGGGCTGGGGATTACCTGTGAGGTGTGGGTTGTAATTAAATGGGTGATCAAAGTGGCCTAATTGAGATAGAGGCATTTGAACAAACACTCAAAGGAGGTCAAAGAGTAAGCCATTTGAATATCTGGAGGAAGAGCAGTACAGGCAGAAGAAGCCACCAAGGCAAAGCACATGTGGTATGCTAAAGGAAGAGCGAGGCCAGTGTGGCTGGAGCAGAGTGAGCATGGGAGAGTGTCGTCAGAGAGGTAACAGGAGCAGATCCAGACAATACAAGATTTCTGCATAGGACTTGGAAAGACGGGAGCTTTTACTCTGAGAAAAAGAGTTCAGAGGGAGTCATTGGAAGGTTCCAAGCAGAGGAGCAACATAATCTGACTTACATTGTTAGGATCACTTTAGCTTCTGTGTTGAAAATAGCCTGAATTTCCTACTGGATGGAAGCAGGAAGGCCGGTTAGGAGGCTCCATGGTAATGTGTTGAAGTCAAGGTGGCAGTAATGGTGAGATTTGGGCTCTATATTGAAGGTATAGCCAATAGGATTGGATGGTAGGGGTGTGTGAAAAAGAGAGGTGTCAAGGAGACTCGGAGATGCAGTTGCCATTAACTGAGATGGAGTCTGTAGGAAGGGCAGGAGTCAGTTCTGGACACGCTGAGTTCGAAATGCCTGTTATACTTCCAAGTGGAGATGTTGAGTAGACAGATGGATGTATGAATGGGGCAGGGGGATCCCTGAAGGAGGAGGTATAAAGGTGGGAGTCATTAACATACAGACAGTACTTGATGTCATAAGAGATGATCAGATAATTACTAAGAGGCAAAATATAGATGAGAAAAGGATTGAGCCGTGAGCACTCCCACCCTGAAAGTCTGGGGAGTTGAGAATGACCCAACAAAGAATATTGAGAAGTAAATATTGAGGAAGGAAGGAAATCAAGTAATCAGGGAGGCAAATAAACAACGTGTTTTCCAGGAGGAAGGAGCAGTCGAGTGTGCCAAGTAGTACTTTAGGTCAAGAAAGATGAAGACTGAGAATTGGTCATTGGATTTAGCAACATGACTATCGCTGGTGATCATTGAGCAGTTTTGGTAGAGTGTTGGGGGTGAAAGCCTGAATGGAGTGGGTTCAGGAGATAACAGGAGGAGTGGAGCTGGAGATATCAAGTAGAAGGGGTTCTTTCAAGGAATTTCAAAGATATGGGGTAATGGCTGGAGGGAGACGCGAAGCTGAGAGGAGATATTTTTAAGGTGGGAGAAATAATGGTTTGTTTGATTGCAGGTAGGAAGAATGATCCTGTACAGTGGAAAATTGATGTAGGAGAAAGGAGAATCACAAAGCTATGTTCTTGAGCAAGAGGGGATGGATTTATTTAGCAAGCGGAGGGATTGGCCTTACGAGTATGGACAGTTCGCCCAAAACAGCAGGTGGGAAGGCATTATATCTGGGCGCATTTGCTGAGAGATGGGTAAATGTGGTGATGGAAGTCTATCAAAATTTGCCTCTGACTGTTTCAGTTTTTCCATTGTAGTAGGAAGCAAGGTCATTCTTCAGCTGTGAGTGAAGATGAGTGGGGACATATAGGGAGTTTGAAGAAAAAGGGAAACAGAATGGCATATGGGAAAGAGAAAAAGTGAATGGACTGGGGAAATACAGAGATTGCTGAGGAGTATGAATTGAAAGTTAGATCAGGTAGCATTGTGGAGTGTTTTTCTCTGGCCATGTTCAGTGGCATGGGCAGTGCTGACTAGGTGGAGAATTAGACTTAACTAGGGTTGTAATCTTGCCAAGTGAGTACGAACAATTGATGAGGGCAGAGGAAGTTGGGGTAAAAGGAAAGGAGTGATTGTAATAACTGATTATAGAATTTACATTGGGCAAGGAAGGCAGACAGACATCATGGGGATGAAGGACAGAGAAAATTAGTAGATCATCAGACTGTAGGTCCTCCTGCAGGGGTTTACAGATTCTGGGTGTAGTGTAGTATAAGAGATCTTGAGTGAGCTGGAAAGTGGAAGGGTGCATGAAATCAAGATTATGGAGGGTTTGTGGTAATTGGTAATGACAGAGACCAGGCTAGATCTCATGAGAGTGAGAGGCCAAGATGAGGAGTTCAAAGAACTGTGAGGCCAAGGTGTTGGAAGGATCTTTGAAGGCCAGTGAAGAAGGATTATCTAATCAGTAGAAAGTGTGTATTTGCAGACTTAGCACAAAGTTGAGCTAAATATTTAACAGCATATGGTGACTGCTCTCTAGAAGCTTAAAGATTATGATGTTTAATTATAGGGCAGAGTAAATATTCAGTTGTGTATGTTTTATACAGCATGCTGAAACTAAACTGAATGAATTATATAAATATCTTTTTATAATTTAGTAAGAAGTCATTGATACGTATCTATAAATAAAAGCAATCCTTATTCCACAAAAGAATCAGACTCATTCTTCATAATTATAGTTCCATCTCAGTTTCACCATTACAAACAATAAGATGAGTCAGGTATGGTGGCACACGCCTGTAATCCCAGCTACTCGGGAGGCTGAGACGGGAGGATCACTCGAATCCAGGAGTTTGAGGTTAGCCTGGACAACATGGTGGGACCCTGTGTCTTAAAAACACCAACAAAAATTAAGATCCCCTCCCAGCCATTTGTATTGAAGTTTGTAAAAAAAAAAAAAAATTAAAAAAATCAAGAGAGCAAACTAACAACAGTTACATGAAACTTTAGAAACTTTCTTAACTGACTCCAGAGATTTCACGACATCTTTTCCCCACATCTTTGGAAGGTGAATGCCTGCTGCATGAGTGGGCTCTTTGCTGTAGCACGTCTGCCTCCACCATTTGAATAGTATACTTACCAAGAATCAGTTGTGTTTGTTCTCGAACTTTAGGCCACTGGACTTGTTATTATAATTATGTATGTTAATTAAAATAGGACATACACCAATGAAATGTGAAGGAAGAGGGATGCTTTTCTGTGACCTAAGTCAGGTGTTTTGGAAAGATTCAGGAAAGACAGATTGCCATATATATGTTTGTCAAATTAGGTGGGAATAAGGGAGCTGTAAAGTATTTGGGGGACAGTTTTAATCTAGAAGGCTTTGGCACTGATAGTGTTTTACAAGTTCCTGCTCTTCTTTAAAAAATGAAAAGTAGAAGTGGTAGATGCACTTAGGTGTGATTTGCTTACGAACTCCAGTCAGCTAACCTAGAAAACAAGAAGCTGTGGTCCTGCATCAGAAATCAGTGTATTCATGCATGTTTATTTGTTTTAAGTTAAAATGATGTTTCGAGTATGTATATATCATTTTTAATGATTTCCCCCTTAACTGACTTTTTCCACTGACTACCAATCCAGATAAGAAGGCACTTATTTATGATATTTAATTTAGTAGCCAAATTATATTAAGTATTTAAGGGTTTTTTTTTGTTTTTGGTTTGTTTGTTTTTACAAATTGTACTTGTTTTATTTATCAAGTCCCATCTTACTATTCCAAAAAAATTTTCAGGTAGCATCTGGATAGTAGATTTAATCAATAGACCTTTTAAGCTAAAAATTTTATAAATAAAGCCATTGAAATTATTTAATTTTTTCTCAGTCCATTTTGCGTTTAAAATATTTTACTAGCTGCATACAGTAGCTCATGCCTATAATCCAAGCACTTTGGGAGGCCAAGGTAGGAGGATCGCTTGAGGCCATAAGTTTGAGAGCAGCCTGGACAATACAGCGAGACCCTGTCTCTACAAAAAAAATGTTTAAAAATTTGAGGGGAGCAGTGGCACATGCCTGTAGTTCCAGCTACTCAGGAGTCTGAGGCAGGTGGATCACTTGACCCCAGGAGGTCAATAATTGAACCCACATCAAAGGGTGGTTGTGAGAATTAAATGAGACAGTCCATTTAAATGCTTAATACAGTACCTGGCACATTGTAGGCATTCATTAAATGTTAGATATGATTTTCTTAATCAGTACCGTGTGTCATTGTCTAATTAAAAGGTCTCTAACAAAGGTGCTCAATAAATATTTTTTGACTTAATATAGGTTGTCATTTCTTTAAAATGTAGGCTATTAAGTTTACTTGTCAGAAGTGTACATCGTATTTTTTCTATGGAAAATCAATTTTGACAGTCCTTATTGACTTGCAACATGTTTTCTCTTAGAATTTCCTGTTGTCTTTTGATTGTGTACAGTGTGTAACACTATTAGAGTCACCTCATTTCTCAGAAACTTCTGTAATTTCTTCATTATTGAATTGAGTGGATAGGGATATTACTAATTCCTTTACTTTTAATTTAACATATCTGTAGTACCATTGGTGGAAAGGAGAAAAATGTAGTACCGTTGGTGGAAAGGACTATTGGTGAGAAAGTCCTCAAAGGCTGATTTAACTCCAGTGACCCACTTCTGTTCTTACATGAGTGATCCTGAATCAGTTTCTGCACCCTGTTGTTGATCAGATAGTACTAGATAAACTCACCTTGGGTTCACACATAGAAAAACAAATGTAACCTTTGCTACATGTACAAAAGTTTAAAGGTTGTAGTAAATACCATTAAGATCTACGTAGCCTGATTGTTAACCTAACAGAAGCATGAGACCATCAGAAGACTTGGGCTCTGGCATAGCTGAAGGGTGTTGGCCAATCTAAGAAATCCACCTAGTTCCAAAAGCTGTTTATTGACATTGTCATCTCAGAGATAAGAGATGGTTGCATACACAATCTGGATTTATGCTGTCCACTTTTTTGTTTGTGTGTTTGTTTGAGATGGAGTTTTGCTCTTGTTGCCCAGGCTGGAGTGCAATGGCGCGATCTCAGCTCACCACAACCTCTGCCTCCTGAGTTCAAGCGATTCTTCTGCCTCAACTTTCCCGAGTAGCTGGGATTACAGACATGTGCCACCACACCTGGATAATTTTGTAGTTTTAGTAGAGTTGGGGTTTCTCCATGTTGGTCAGGCTGGTTTCAAACTCCCGACCTCAGGTGATCCTCCTGCCTCGGCCATCCCAAAGTGCTGGGATTACAGGCATGAGTCACTGCGCCCGGCTGCTGTTCACCTTTTATGTAAAATAAAGTATATTTATTGTGCCAAATGTAGTAAATGAAGAGATTAGGGAACTGGCATGTTTCAGAAGGGTAATATAGGAAGAAAATTGCCCATTTTCTTTCAGGTAGTTGGAAAAGATTTGTAGAAAAGGTAGTATTCCAAGAGAAGGAAGAAATGACCAAGATTGCTTAGACTAAGATAATTATTCCAGGCTTGGAACGTCTCCTGAGAGGCAGCAGGGGGATGACTAAATGAAGCGGGTTTGTGTGGGCTTGCCTGCTAAATGGTGGATGGATGTCAGTTGAACAGATTGTTTTGAGTGCAATTCTATAGCTGGGCTGAAGGTGCAAAAACAAGACGCGGTCCAAGATCTTACTCATTACTTCATTACATAACAGGGGAGATGAGAATTATCTGTTAATGGTAACACACTATGGTAGGTGCTTAATTAATGGTGTGAACAAAGTACTTTGGAAGGACAGAGAACTGAATGGTTAATTATGCATGAGTGGGAAAGAGTTCACAGATGAGGTTAAAGTAGGAAAAGTGGGAAGAGTGTCTTCTGGAAGAAGGACAGGGCCTTCTAAGCACAGGAATCGTGTGAACAGAGGGTGGGTATACATTTGACGTTGGGGGTGCTATATGGGACAGGAGCAGGAAATGAGACTCAAGGAAATGAAAAGAATGTGGATAAAGCACCCAGCTTGGGGTTAATCATAACAAAGATTCCTCTAGTTGTTCAGAACATGGTTTGGAGAGAAAACCACTGCAAACTTCAAGAGCTCCTGGTGGCTTTTTTGGTTATCTTGGCTACTGAGCAGTGAATGGGTATAGAGAGGAGAGAGGATCAATGGAAGAGGTTATTCCAAAAGGATTTGGCAGCCATTTGGATGAGGGTCATGGGGAAGAGAAAGGAGCCCCATTTTATTCTCGAGCTTAGTTGGCTGGGTCGATGTTATTACCCTAAACCAATTTGGGGATTACAGAGAGGAGGCAGGAGTTGGGGGCAGAAAAGGGAAAAAGAGAATATGTTTAGTTTCTGACATTTTGAATGTGAAGGGCCTGTGGAACATCCTGATAGTCAGTAGGTAGTTGGAGATACGGGTTGGAAATTTAAGAGGACACACACACACACGCCATCAGCATGTAGAACTGGTAATTAAGACTACAGAAGTAAGTGCAGCCTTCAAAGAGAGTATTTAGAGTGAGAAGAATGACTAGAATTGTATCTTAGAGAACCAGCGTGTTCCGTGTGGGAAGAAAATGTTGTGTGTCCATATATTCTAAAATCATATAAACTGTTGTTTTCTTTTGTATTCTTTGTTCCACTTCTCTCTCTAGTAATGAAGATAATAGAGACTTGACTATATGAATGATGTGTGGGCTTCAAGCATACTATTTTAAATAGCGTTTGTTGTCCTTAAATTTTTTTTTTTCTTTAAACTTGTCTCTAGATGTCATTTTGCTAGGTTTTTGGACTTCACTGATCTGAATGAATTATATTTCAAGGAAACTGGGCATTTTTATCATCACATTAAACTTCACTCTTTCAGAATGATCATGTTTACTATATTATTAGTCACTTTAACTGCTACTCTTTCTCTCCATAGGAGCTGATGCAGCAGAATGGGATTGGTTATGTGTTAAATGCCAGCAATACCTGTCCAAAGCCTGACTTTATCCCCGAGTCTCATTTCCTGCGTGTGCCTGTGAATGACAGCTTTTGTGAGAAAATTTTGCCGTGGTTGGACAAATCAGTAGATTTCATTGGTAAGTAGCTCAAATAATATTGCAGGTCCTGTGGGTGATCGTCTCATGTGTAGGTGAACCCCCTCAGCCCCCCATTTTTTCTTTAGAGAAAAGGAGCCTATTTCAGAGATTTCAAAAGTCTGAAAACAGCACGTGGTGCAGCTTACTCATCTGGTGGTCAAGGTGACGTGTGTGTCACACTGTCCCTAAGGACTGGCCTTGTGACATTCTAGCTAACATTTAACACCACCAAGGTTAAGCTTCACAGGATCTGTAATTATGTATTTGCAGGTGTTTGAAAATCAGTTAAGCTTTTAGGGTTAAATTCTTCCCCCAACTTTTTCAAATCCTATACAAGCCTTTGGGAAACTTTGGTAATATTCCCTGTTGCCTTGTTGCTGTGTTTTTTACAGAGAAAAGTCAAATCTTTTGAAAACAAATCCCATTACATTTAAGTCTTTATGTCAGTGTTTCTGAGCCGGGGTCCACATGCCAATAATTTCAGGTAGTGTTTGATCTAACAGAATTTTCACACACACACACACACACACACACACACACACACACTCTCATTTGGTTATTTTCCTGGCAATGGTCTTGACGGGATCTCATCTGTGCCATACTTTGTTGTGCTTCCTGGGCTTGTTCAATTCTGGAGCTTCTCTGGCCCCTGGGTACTTACTGCTGAGGCATTTTGGTGCCACAGGATCAGATCTGCTGGGTGGTAACTTGGTGATGTGTATTTGGAATGTGGCTTTAGTGGACAGTGGCTGAGCAGAGGAGAAACACTGCTAGCTCCTGAGCAACATACCACAGTGACTCTTGATGTTCCATGTAAGGAATTTTTTTTCCCCCAGTTACATAAGTTGGAGCACCCTAATCCATAATTACTCTGAATTGGTTACCATTACCATAATTAAAAATAAAAGAACTAGTTCTTTCAAAAAAGTGGAATTGGCCAGGCGCGGTGGGTCACGCCTGTAATCCCAGCACTTTGGGAGGCCTAGGCGGGTGGATCATGAGGTCAGGAGATTGAGACCATCCTGGCTAACACAGTGAAAACCCATCTCTACTAAAAATACAAAAAATTAGCTGGGCGAGGTGACAGGAACCTGTAGTCCCAGCTGCTCGGGAGGCTGAGGCAGGAGAATGGCATGAACCCGGGAGGCAGAGCTTGCAGTGAGCCAAGATTGCACCATTGCACTCCAGCCTAGGCAGCAGAGTGAGACTCTGTCTCCAAAAAAAAAAAAAAAAAAAAAAAAGTGGAATTGGCCAGGCACAGGGGCTTATGCCTTAATCCCAGCACTTTAACAAGCCGAGGCAAGCAATCACTTGAACCCAGGAGTTCGAGACCAGCTTGGGCAACATAGCAAAACCTTGTCTCTACCAGTGCACCTGTGGTCCCGCCTACTCGGGAGGCTGAGGTGGGAGGATTGCTTGAGCCAGGAGGCGGAGGTTGCAGTGAGCTGAGATTGTGCCACTGAACTCCAGCCTGGGCAGTAGAGCCAGACCCTGTCTCAAAAACAAAAAGTGGAATTATGTATATTAAGCCCCATATTATAATTTTCACCTGTGAGGGGAATATTCTATTTAATGCTTTTGGAACTTTAAGTAATTCCAAAACACTTGCCTTTTTTTCAAGATTTCCAGGTTGCTGAGGGTTTCATCTTCAATTAGGATTCATTCTGTGAAACATCTGAAGATAAATGACTTAGTTCATATTAAAGTAATCACAAACAAATGGCCAGGTAGCTCACGCCTGTAATCCCAGCACTTTGGGAGGCCGAGGCTGGCAGATCACCTGAGGTCAGGAGTTCGAGACCAGCCTGGCCAACATATAGTGAAACCCCACCTCTACTAAAAATACAAAAATTAGCTGGGCGTAGTGGCACATGCCTGTAGTCCCAGCTACTTGGGAAGCTGAGGCAGGAGAATTGCTTGAATCCAGGAGGCGGAGGTTGCAGTGAGCCAAGATCGCGCCACTGCACTCCAGCCTGGGTAACAGAGTGAAACTCTATCTCAAAAAAAAAAAAAAAAATCACAAACAAACCCCCACAAGTTAACACACACCCTCCCATTGTACTTCTAAAAAACATTCAGCAAATCATTGTTTTTGTCTCTTTAAAAAATAACAATTGGCTGGGCATGGTGGCTTACGCCTGTAATCCCAGCACTTTGGGAGGCCGAGATGGGGGGATCACCTGAGGTTGCTGGAGTTTGCGATAGCCTGGCCAACACGTCTCTACTAAAAATATAAAAATTAGTCGGGCATGGTGGCGGGCACCTGTAATCCCAGCTACTTGGGAGGCTGAGGCAGGAGAATCTCTTGAACCTGGGATGTGGAGGTTGCAGTGAGCCGAGACCACGCCATTGCACTCCAGCCTTGGCAACAGAGTGAGACTTTGTCTCAAAAAAAATAAAAATAAAAAAAATAAATTACGGTTAATGTTCCCATTGCACGTCACTTCCAGAGACATTGGCTCTAATTTCAGCTAAAAATCAGATATCAAAATCTACCTAGAAGAGAACATGATTTTCTTAAGTCATGACAATGTGTGGGCTTTAGGAGACAAAGTTTAGTAGAAAAGAGAAGAGAATAGAGAATATGAATAACTTTGCTCCCAACTTATTTTTTCCTTTCATGGAAGATATTGGGGTCATCCTGCCACTTTCATTCATACAAAAGAACTTTAACTACTTTGCAACTTGGTTAAACACATACACACAAAATACATATTATAATTTATTTGTAATATCTGCAAATACTTATCAGTATTTCATTTGCTTGGTTCTATTAGAGCCATCATCCTTATCCCACCCAAGTAATTCAAGGCAAAATCTCCAGGCCACTTTTTGAATTCAGCCCATATTCACTACAATTGCTAAGTCTTCTCCTCTGTGGGGTTTTTTGTTGTTGTTCTTGCTTTTTATTTACTCAAGCAGAAGAAAGACACAAGAATGATAACCCACATACATACAGAGTAGTAGAATGGCAAGAGCTAATTATTCTCAAACACAAATTCTTAAAGATAAATGTAAAATTTTTTTTTAATTTTTAAATTTTTTTATTTTTATTTATTATTATACTTTAAGTTTTAGGGATCTGTGGGGTTTTAAGCCATGGTTAGTGATAGCATGTCATTTGAAGATGTACCCCCTTAATGACTTACAGGCTCATAGTGATTTTTTCTTTTTTGTTGTTGTTATTTAGATTAGATTTGGGTAAGTCTCCGGGTTGGTTGGAAGGACTCAGGTTTATGTGGAGTTTTGTCTTTTAGTTAATGTGCCAGTAACAGAGTTTGCCCGTTTGTGCTATGGGATACTCATGAGGTGCCCCCAAACCCAGCTGGCTACATATACAGCCTCTTGCTTCCTCTTCACTGTCTCCTGGGCTCTTCCTCCAGCTCTCCTCATGCCAAACTCGTGACTGCATGGACACAACATAGGGAGGTGATTAGGACCATGTATTTTGGAGGCAAACTGTCTGTATTTGAGTCCTGCCTACCCTGGTTATTAGTGAAGTGGTTTGAGTAAGTTACTTCAAACTTCTGTGCACTTCAGTTTCTTGATCTGGAAACTGAAGGTAATATACCTACCTTACAGGGATATTGTGAGGATTAAAATAGATAATGTAAAATGAAAAAAAAAGAAAAAAAGTAAACCAAAAAGATAAAATAAAAATAAGTAAAATAGATAATGTCCATTGAACACCTTGTAAAGTACCTGACTCATAATTGGCTGTTAATAAGTATTTTAAAAATTGTTATCTGAAGTTCCTCCTTTTTTCTGTCCTTTGAGCTGGACTCTGTAACACCTCTTAGTATTACTTCCTTCTTTTTAGCTTTTGTAACTTCTCATCCTCACTGCATCTTTGCCCTTTTCATTTGCAGTTCTCTCTCCCCTTTCTTAACCTAGATTTTAGCCTTAATTGCGGTAATGGCCACCTGCTTGTTTCCAGTTTTCATCATCATTGCCTTCTCGTTCTTTATTCAGAAACCTGAAGAGGCTTCTTAGTTTTCTGCGTTAAAAAGGTAGCCTTGGCCAGGTGCAGCGTGTGTAATCAATCACAGCACTTTGGGAAGCGGAGGCGGGAGGATTGCTTGAGGCCAGGAGTTTGACACCAGCCTAGTCAACATAGCAAGATCCTGTCTCTACAAAAAATTTTCAAAAATTAGCCAGGCATGGTGGTGTGCACCTGTAGTCCTAGCTGGGAGGCTGAGGCAGGAGGATCGCTTGAGCCTAGGAGCTCACAGTTACAGTGAGCTATGTTTGCACTATGGCACTCCAGCCTGGATGAACAGAGTGAGACCCTGTCTGAAAAAACAAATGTAGCCCTTAGCCTAACATTCCCACCACCCTCAAACACCTGCTTCCCACCTTTGAAACCTTCTCAAACCTTCTCTCTGGTTTCTTCTCCAAGGCAGGCTGTTTTCGAATGAGCACTTTGCTCAGTCCCACTGCAGGGCTTTCTCGCACACATTTCCCTTCTCCTCTCTGCCAGTTGTGTGTGTTAAATTAATTCCTTTGCTTGAAGACACAGTTTAGGGCTCATGTCTCCCAAGATGCATGCTGGTGAACCTCAACTCCAGTATAGTCACTTGTTTTTTTCATTTTTAAAAGACGTCATCAAAAGAGTTGTGGTTATAAAAACAGTTGTAAGCACATTGCAGAAAATTTGAAAAACAGAGAAAAGGAAACCTATAACCTCAACATCGTAACGCATGTTACTGTCATTGTTTTATTTCCTTCCAGCCTTCTTCTTTTTTTATTAAAATCTCTTTTGAAAATATGTATCAGCCAGTATCAGCTGGATGCCTACCATGTGCCTAGCGTTAAGTCTTTTGGGGGATTGTTAGAAGCAAGCAAGATCCTTCTAGGTCCTTATAATCTAGGTTTTGAGATAGATAATTATTAAAATTAATGAGAGAGTATTGTCAACATTAAAAAACAAAAACCCAGACTCCTTCCAGTAAGGATTTGAAGCAGTTTTCAATAATAGGTTAGAACCAAAAGATACACATATTCTCACACATACACATTATAATGGTATAAAGGAGCAATAATCAAGTAATAGGGGCTAGGAAATGTACAGTAACTGACAAAAAGTCTGAATTGCTACTTCTTATTGAAATTGAGTAGAAACCTTAGCTTTGAGCTTCTTAGCAGTAGGGCAGAAAGGGAAGGAAACACTGAGAGTAACGTGGGGTAAATGATAGCTGAGAAGGAAGGGGATGCTGGAGGCACAGGAAGGCATGAGACTGTGTACACGAGTTTATATGTTCTTACTTGTATAGCATGCAATTCTTTGTTTGAGTGTTGCTTGGTATTCATTTGTTAGTGTTTTATTGTGTTTGGTTTCCTGATCTAGAAGGGAAGCTGCTTGCTGCTTAATTATTCATATGCTACCCAAAACCTGTATGTTGCTTTATATATGATGAATAATTATGTTATATATAATAATCATTACACTAGAAACTTATATTTATAGCATAGGCAGTGAGATTGAATAGCTTTGTATTATTCAGCTGCCAAAGTAAGATTCTTTGCGCATCTGTTAATCGCAAGAATTTTAACACAAGGTTCAGTAGACTTTTGGTAGTATCTACCAAGAATGAAAAGGGGAGAATTCAGCTTCATGACTGAGCACACATGTAATTATTTAGAATTGAGGCAGTCATGGAACTGGCCAGAATGTTAGTAGCTTCCAGGCTGTGTGGAATAACCTCGTCCCCTGCCACATGTACATATTGTTAAGCCCCTCAGCAGTGAGAGATGGCAGCACTGCTTGGATTTCCTTGGTTCTTTGGTTCTAACAAAGTGTCCGTGAGTCCTTCCATCATGTTGTGGGGAATTGAGATAATGCCATAAGACAATAACTCCTGGTATCAAGGAAGGGATAAAAGTTCTCTTGGATCTCATTAAAGTGACCTGCTAAACCTGATTCATAGCCTATACAAGGTTTTCTTCTAAAACTCAGTAAATAAAGTTGAGCCATTTTATGACATACAGAAAAGTTGCTTAAAATAGGGAGGCCAGGGGCAGTGGCTCACTCCTGTAATCCCAGCACTTTGGGAGGCTGAGGTGGACGGATCACTTGAGGCCAGGAGTTAGAGACCAGCCTGCCCAACATGGTGAAACCGCAACTCCACTAAAAATAGAAAAATTAGCCAGGCGTGGTGCTGCACACCTGTAATCCCAGCTACTCTGGAGGCTAAGGCAGGAGAATCACTTGAATCCGGGAGGCGGAGATTGCAATGAGCCGACATCGTGCACTCCAGCCTGGGCGACAGAGCAAGACTCTATCTCAAAATAGTAATAATGATTTTAAAAAATGTAATTATATTTCTTAGGTAATCAGGGAAAAATTTGAAGTGTCAGATAACAGGAATATATTAAATATTACCCATATCTTAGGGGAAAATACTAACATAAGTCAGGAAACCTGAGTTAGTAGTAGCTTGCTTATTAACGAATTGCTTATTAACAAACAGTTTTGGACCCCAGTTGTCCTGCATGTCAGTGGTGAGGGAATTATCTTCCCCTGCCTCCTCAAAAGAATATTGCGAGGATAAATATGATATACACAGATGAGATTTGCGTAGAGGTTTTCAGGTGGAAGACACTGAGTAAGTAAATGGAAACAAGATTTCACTGCTGAACAAAATAGTTAGTAGTGACCTTTCTTGCATTTGACTTATACAGAGAAAGCAAAAGCCTCCAATGGATGTGTTCTAGTGCACTGTTTAGCTGGGATCTCCCGCTCCGCCACCATCGCTATCGCCTACATCATGAAGAGGATGGACATGTCTTTAGATGAAGCTTACAGGTGAGGGCAGGAAAATGTCTTCTGTGATTGGCTTTTCATTTGACCTGAAACATAAAGAATGATGAGGATGGGTAACCAAATTAAAGCAGATCATGATTATTTTAGTCACATTTTTTACAGGTTACTGTGGATTTTTTAATGGTCTTGTGAAGATTGGAAAAGAATGCTGTTTTACTATTTAGCATTAATTCTGCCTTCACATGTGTCAGACTCATCCTCAGCCACTTTTTATGTTTAAGGAACAACAGATCCAGGCAGAGATCTCTATCCTGTTACATGAGTTTATTGCTTTCCCTAAATGCAAAAGTATCCTTTGTTTTAATTTGCATATGATGGGGGGAAGCTCTAATAGAATGCTCACTGCAGAATCTCTGTTCTGCTTCAAACTTTGGATTGCTGGGAAGAAAAAGCCTCATAAATGCAAATATGAACCAGATTAACTGTCAGACTCCATTCTTCAGTAAAATTTCCTACATTCTAGAGTCGGCCAGATTGTGTGTGTGTGATTTTGACTGGGTTGCCTCCAGTCTCTGATTTGTCTGACTCCCCTGCATGTATCGTTGGGTAGAGATGGTTCATTTTTATCTGATAAGGAATCAAAAATATAGAGACTCATGGAGCAGGCCTGATTTAACAGTTGGATTTTTTTTTTCTCAAATTGCAAAGTTTGGAAAACAGAAATGAGCTGCCCAAACAGCTTCCCATGTTAAGTCAGCAGCCTGGAGGACGTGGGTCCTCTGGTCATCTGCACGAGCTCTCATGCCGCCGTTCAGACCTCCCTGAGGTCCTCCTGCTCCATGTAGAAATCAGAAGAAAAGGCACCCTTCTATCACGTTATGAAGTCTCATTATGAGCACCCTACATTTATACTTGTTATTCTTGAGCCAGTTATTTCTATTTTTGTGAATTTGCTTTAGGTTACTTGATTTCCAAGTTTTTTTTTTCCTTGTTCCTTATTCAAATGCAAATTTTCAGTGTAGTTCTACTCCTCCATCACCTGAAAAGTATCCATGAGGTGCAGGGGCCGCTGAAGAATTGGTCTGTCATCTCTGAGTCTTTATTTCCTCCATGAAACATGAAAGCCATCTAGTATTAGTTTTGATCCTTTGATGAATCTTTTTTTTAACATAGTGGTTACAAAAATGGACCCAGATATTTGACCAGCCTGGTTTTGAATCCAGCACCATCATTTAGTAGCTGTGTGATTTTGGGCAAGTCACTTAAGGATTCTGTGGAGCTATATGATGGGGATAATGACACCCACCTGATAAAGGGTAGTTCTGAGGATGAAATGATGATTCAGTGCATAAGCACAGTGCTTAGCACACAGAGACCACTTTGTCTTGGTTAGTCTGTCATGTTGACTATAAAAAGAAGTGTTGCTTTGATACTTTGATCATCTGATACCATCTTCTTTTTGTCATTAAATTTAAAATGTGAACTGTCTTGAGAAGTGACTGGTGACTTTAAGAGGGGATGACATTGGAAATTGAAGAAGGAGAGTGGCTGTTATACTGTACTTTTGATGGTAGCACTGGTGTGTGTGTGTCAGGGGTGTCCTTGGTGGTGAATAAATAATCATCTCTTGGCCAGGCATGGTGGCTCACACCTGTAGTCCCAGCACTTTGGGAGGCCAAGGTGGGAGAATCACTTGAGCCCAGAAGTTCAAGACCAGCCTGGGCAACACAGTGAGACCCTTTCTCTACAAAAGAAACTTTAAAAATTAAAATTAGCCAAGCGTGTAGTCCTGTAATCCCAGCTACTCAGGAGGCTGAGGTGGGAGGACTGCACGTGCCCAGGAATTCGAGGCTGCAGTGAGCTATGATCATGCCACTGTATTCCAGCCTGGGCGACAGAACAAGTCTCTGTCTCTTAAAAAAAAAAAAGACCACCACCAACAAAACCCCATACCATCTCTTATCAGCTGCATTGGGAGCCCTGGGCCTTTGAAAATAAGGAGACAAAAACTAGAGCCTTTGGGGCCCAGCTGCCTCTTCTGGCAT
Source organism: Homo sapiens (assembly GCF_000001405.40). NCBI lineage: Eukaryota > Metazoa > Chordata > Mammalia > Primates > Hominidae > Homo > Homo sapiens. The sequence goes on along the minus strand of NW_011332696.1, from coordinate 447,222 downwards.
ACTCCAGGATGTGTGCAAAGCTTCCCCAGTGCCTAGGGCCTTTGTATTCTCCACCTTGAAGCATCTCCCCGAACTTGTAAACCAATCATCTTCCAAAGTTTTTGAGGTCTGCCTGATAATTCCCTATCTCATTTATTCACTTAATATTCTTAAGATAAAGTGTAGTTGTAAAATTCGGGTTTTTGTTTTTTCCTCTCTCTGCAGATTTGTGAAAGAAAAAAGACCTACTATATCTCCAAACTTCAATTTTCTGGGCCAACTCCTGGACTATGAGAAGAAGATTAAGAACCAGACTGGAGCATCAGGGCCAAAGAGCAAACTCAAGCTGCTGCACCTGGAGAAGCCAAATGAACCTGTCCCTGCTGTCTCAGAGGGTGGACAGAAAAGCGAGACGCCCCTCAGTCCACCCTGTGCCGACTCTGCTACCTCAGAGGCAGCAGGACAAAGGCCCGTGCATCCCGCCAGCGTGCCCAGCGTGCCCAGCGTGCAGCCGTCGCTGTTAGAGGACAGCCCGCTGGTACAGGCGCTCAGTGGGCTGCACCTGTCCGCAGACAGGCTGGAAGACAGCAATAAGCTCAAGCGTTCCTTCTCTCTGGATATCAAATCAGTTTCATATTCAGCCAGCATGGCAGCATCCTTACATGGCTTCTCCTCATCAGAAGATGCTTTGGAATACTACAAACCTTCCACTACTCTGGATGGGACCAACAAGCTATGCCAGTTCTCCCCTGTTCAGGAACTATCGGAGCAGACTCCCGAAACCAGTCCTGATAAGGAGGAAGCCAGCATCCCCAAGAAGCTGCAGACCGCCAGGCCTTCAGACAGCCAGAGCAAGCGATTGCATTCGGTCAGAACCAGCAGCAGTGGCACCGCCCAGAGGTCCCTTTTATCTCCACTGCATCGAAGTGGGAGCGTGGAGGACAATTACCACACCAGCTTCCTTTTCGGCCTTTCCACCAGCCAGCAGCACCTCACGAAGTCTGCTGGCCTGGGCCTTAAGGGCTGGCACTCGGATATCTTGGCCCCCCAGACCTCTACCCCTTCCCTGACCAGCAGCTGGTATTTTGCCACAGAGTCCTCACACTTCTACTCTGCCTCAGCCATCTACGGAGGCAGTGCCAGTTACTCTGCCTACAGCTGCAGCCAGCTGCCCACTTGCGGAGACCAAGTCTATTCTGTGCGCAGGCGGCAGAAGCCAAGTGACAGAGCTGACTCGCGGCGGAGCTGGCATGAAGAGAGCCCCTTTGAAAAGCAGTTTAAACGCAGAAGCTGCCAAATGGAATTTGGAGAGAGCATCATGTCAGAGAACAGGTCACGGGAAGAGCTGGGGAAAGTGGGCAGTCAGTCTAGCTTTTCGGGCAGCATGGAAATCATTGAGGTCTCCTGAGAAGAAAGACACTTGTGACTTCTATAGACAATTTTTTTTTCTTGTTCACAAAAAAATTCCCTGTAAATCTGAAATATATATATGTACATACATATATATTTTTGGAAAATGGAGCTATGGTGTAAAAGCAACAGGTGGATCAACCCAGTTGTTACTCTCTTAACATCTGCATTTGAGAGATCAGCTAATACTTCTCTCAACAAAAATGGAAGGGCAGATGCTAGAATCCCCCCTAGACGGAGGAAAACCATTTTATTCAGTGAATTACACATCCTCTTGTTCTTAAAAAAGCAAGTGTCTTTGGTGTTGGAGGACAAAATCCCCTACCATTTTCACGTTGTGCTACTAAGAGATCTCAAATATTAGTCTTTGTCCGGACCCTTCCATAGTACACCTTAGCGCTGAGACTGAGCCAGCTTGGGGGTCAGGTAGGTAGACCCTGTTAGGGACAGAGCCTAGTGGTAAATCCAAGAGAAATGATCCTATCCAAAGCTGATTCACAAACCCACGCTCACCTGACAGCCGAGGGACACGAGCATCACTCTGCTGGACGGACCATTAGGGGCCTTGCCAAGGTCTACCTTAGAGCAAACCCAGTACCTCAGACAGGAAAGTCGGGGCTTTGACCACTACCATATCTGGTAGCCCATTTTCTAGGCATTGTGAATAGGTAGGTAGCTAGTCACACTTTTCAGACCAATTCAAACTGTCTATGCACAAAATTCCCGTGGGCCTAGATGGAGATAATTTTTTTTTCTTCTCAGCTTTATGAAGAGAAGGGAAACTGTCTAGGATTCAGCTGAACCACCAGGAACCTGGCAACATCACGATTTAAGCTAAGGTTGGGAGGCTAACGAGTCTACCTCCCTCTTTGTAAATCAAAGAATTGTTTAAAATGGGATTGTCAATCCTTTAAATAAAGATGAACTTGGTTTCAAGCCAAATGTGAATTTATTTGGGTTGGTAGCAGAGCAGCAGCACCTTCAAATTCTCAGCCAAAGCAGATGTTTTTGCCCTTTCTGCTTCACTGCATGGATACAGTTGGTAAAATGTAATAATATGGCAGAATTTTATAGGAAACTTCCTAGGGAGGTAAATTATGGGAAGATTAAGAAAGGTACAAATTGCTGAGGAGAAGCAGGAAACCTGTTTCCTTAGTGGCTTTTATCCCCTCGGCATGCGATGGGGCTGATGTTTCTATGATTGCCTCAGACTTTCACATTTACTAGTAGGGCTGAGAGAGGCTTTAGTGAGGAAGGAATATTCAGAATAAAACGGTTGAGAAAGCTGAGAAGACCATTGAGTTTTGATCAGTTGTGAATAGAGTGCAAAGCCATGGCCAAGCTGTTTTTGGAAACGCTGGCCGGCGTGTCTTCAGTGGAAAAAGCAAATCAAAATGGAGCGAGAGCAAAGGGGCGTCCTCAGTCCTCAACCTACAATCACTGTATGGAATCGGTCCTGGCAGCTGAACATAGGAGGTCACTGGAACAAGTGATAGTGCAGATTGGCTTTCAAACATCCTCCTGGCTTGAGTTTTATCAGCTACAATGTGGGTCCTCTTTTGAAGCCTTAATTCACAACAGCAGCTTTTTGGGGGTGGGGCTGGGCGGGTGTTGTCATTGTTCTTTCCCTTCCTGTAAGTGTCGCTAGTTGCTGCCTCGTATCTCAGGTTTTTCTCTGTTTTTGAGAAATGGACAGTTTTTTGACCAGGATGTGACTTCATGTTTCCTATGGTGACTTCTAAAACCAGCACAGAATGATATGACTCAACACAGACCGACTTGGTTATGGGGATGATGAGCCGCACAGACCTCACTAGTTGTGCACAAATAATGTGCTATGATGGGGTGTAAAGTGAAGGCAGAAGAGGGTCAGCCGCATTGTTATGATACTGGGAAAGTGCTGGTCAACGATTTGAGTTAGTTTTTAGATATACATTGAAATCTTTAATCAGACATTCTCAAGTTTCACACAGTAGTTTTTGATGTTATGTACACACACACCAAATGTGTAACAGTTCACCACTTCCAGAGTGTGGTCATGCCCAAAACATGTTTAAGAAAGGAAAGCAGTAGCTCCTTGCTAACGATGTTTCAGGAGGTTTGGGGGACTTGGTTTTAATGAGCTTCTGTCATTTAGGGCTTCTCTTGGCCATGGTCCCCCTTCCTTCTGGAACTGTGATGTAGTCACATCCTACAGCCTTTAGTGCTGGTTCACTAGTGTCAGATAATCAGTTCTTGGAATCGAGACTGCCGTGGCGAAGGGGTGGCCTCGGAGGCAGGCTCTGGAGCTGCTTGGATGTCTTTAGGTGGGGTGGTGGCTGGCTCTCTTCAGCATGTAATTGGGGAAACCCTCGCGTCTACTAGGGGTGATACAGATGGTGATTTTAAAGAGCAAAACTAGACTTCTATGTGAGAAGTGCTGGAAAATGATTTAGGACATGTGTAAAGTTAGATGGAAAGACTGTAAATGTTTAATATGAATATAGTGTTCTTTTGAAGTAAGGCCAGCTGTTGAACGGTTAAACTGTGCATTTCTCATTTTGATGTGTCATGTATGTTAATGTATGAAATGATTAAATAAAATCAAAACTGGTACCTGTTTATACATAAATACGAGAAAAGACCTATCTTTGCAGCCATAAACTCGGTGGGAACACCACCACTCAAGTTGCCAAAGGAGGCAGTGGTGAAACCTGTCCTGTTCTCACTTAAATGAGGATTTAGCTCAAAATAAAGTGGTGGTGTCATCAGGTTTATTCCGTGTTCTGTCATTCACATGGAACACCGGATGATTAGCTAACAGTTTAGTGCCAGCCTTCATTCTTTACTGTGTACGTTAAATGCACACTACAGTGAAAAAGCCTAAGACACTTGGTAAATATTTTCTAGCTGACTGATTCCAGAACACACAAGTACATGGTAGGAAAAAAAAGGCCAGCTACACACACATGGCCCATTTCGATATAACATGTAAATGATGTTACGATTCCTACAGGAAAAACAGGAAGGGCAATTGTTGAAGAGCTGTCCTTTGTCCTTGCCACATACATCTCAACAACCTCTCTGCTCATGACACTAGATTTGATGACTTATGAGACTAGAAACTTAGTCTCATCAGTTTCATAAAAATTAGGCATTGAAGGAATAAAGCTTCAGTGCAAACAGATGGAATATTGACTACAGAAAGAATCACAGGTGACCTTGAAGTTGGTTGAGTTGAAGTTACATTTAAGAAAATTTATAAGAAAGATTGGGCCGGGTGAGCTAGACTAGAAGAGCTATCTTGGCCAGGACCCTGCAGAAAAAGAGGTGGAAGTGAGATAGAGGAATAAAGGGAATTAGAATAAATCAGCCTCCAGAGATAGAGGGTAACAGGAGGAACAGTTGTTTCAGTGAGAGGCTTCCAATGAGAAGATGCAGATCTTGGGAGAGCCTGAAGTTCAGGCCAGTTGCTGACAGTGCTCGGAGCCCCTTCATGACCAGCCTCAGCAGGCTATTGTTGGAGGACTGGTTTGGATGTGACAACTACAATTAGACCAGGAATTAAACTAAGAGGGGAGGCTGGGGGCGGTGGCTCACGCTTGTAATCCCAGCACTTTGGGAGGCCAAGGCAGGTGGATTACCTGAGGTCAGGAGTTTGAGACCAACCGGGCCTACCTGGTGAAATCCCTTCTCTACTAAAAATACAAAAATTAGCCAGGTGTGGGTGCCTGTCATCCCAGCTACTTGGGAGGCTGAGGCACGAGAATTGCTTGAACCTAGGAGGTGGAGGTTACAGTGAGCCAAGATTTCGCCATTGCACTCCAGCCTGGGCAACAAGAGCGAAACTCCATTTTAAACAAAAAATAAACTAAGGGGAAATTAGTGAGAGGTGACAGCGCACTGGCAGCCCTCACACCCCTCACTCACTCTCAGCACCTCCTCTGCCTGGGCTTCCACTTTGGCGGCACTTGAGGAGCCCTTCAGCCCGCCGCTGCACTGTGGGAGCCCCTTTCTCGGCTGGCCAAGGCGGAGCCGGCTCCCTCAGCTTGCCGGGAGGTGTGGAGGGAGAGGTGTGGAGGGAGAGGCATGGGCGGGAACCGGGGCTGCGCACGGTGCTTGCAGGCCAGTGCGAGTTCCAGGTGGGCGTGGGCTCAGCGGACCCTGCGCTCGGAGCAGCCAGCTGGCCCCACCGCCCGAGCAGTGAGGGGCTTTTAGCACCCGGGCCAGCAGCTGCTGTGCTCAATTTCTCACAGGGCCTTAGCTGCCTTCCCACAGGGCAGGGCTCAGGACCTGCAGCCCGCCATGCCTGAGCCTCCCCGAACTCCGTGGGCTCCTGTGCGGCCTGAGCCTCCCCGAGCGCCGCCCCCTGCTCCACAGCGCCCAGTCCCATCAACCAGCCAAGGGCTGAGGAGTGTGGGCACAGGGCGTGGGACTGGCAGGTAGCTCCACCTGCAGCTCTGGTGCAGGATCCACTGGGTGAAGCCAGCTGGGCTCCTGAGTCTGGTGGGGACTTGGAGAACCTTTATGTCTAGCTCAGGGATTGTAAATACACCAATCGGCACTCTGTATCTAGCTCAAGGTTTGTAAACACACCAATCAGCACCCTGTGTCTAGCTCAAGGTTCGTGAATGCACCAATCAACCCTCTGTATCTAGCTACTCTGGTGGGGCCTTGGAGAACATTTGTGTCTAGCTCAGGGATTGTAAACACACAAATCAGTGCCCTGTCAAAACAGACCACTCGGCTCTACCAATCAGCAGGATGTGGGTGGGGCCAGATAAGAGAATAAAAGCAGGCTGCCCGAGCCAGCGGTGGCAACCCGCTCGGGTCCCCTTCCACACTGTGGAAGCTTTGTTCTTTCGCTCTTTGCAATAAATCTTGCTACTGCTCACTCTTTGGGTCCACACTGCTTTTATGAGCTGTAACACTCACCGCAAAGGTCTGCAGCTTTACTCCTGAAGCCAGCGAGACCACGAGCCCACTGGGAGGAATGAACAACTCTGGACGCGCTGCCTTAAGAGCTGTAACACTCACCGCGAAGGTCTGCAGCTTCACTCCTGAGCCAGCGACACCACGAACCCACCAGAAGGAAGAAACTCCAAACACATCCGAACATCAGAAGGAACAAACTCCGGACACGCTGCCTTTAAGAACTGTAACACTCACTGTGAGGGTCCGCGACTTCATTCTTGAAGTCAGTGAAACCAAGAATCCACCAATTCCGGACATATTAGGAAGGTGTAGATTGAGATGTGAAGAAAAATAAGACAAAATTGGAGCCGAGTGTCCAAAGAGATTATGTGAAGGGTAGAGGGTGCATATGGGACTAGTTGATGGAAACTTTTTAGTCTCAACACGTTCACTGTTACTTTATCTTAAATACTCCTTTGGTTTTGTTTTTCTGAGAAGCAGGAATGTTTTAGATCTAGTAAACAAAATTTGTCTACGTAATTTTTCTGTGAATATTAGTCTTCTGCATCTAGAAATGGAAGCAGGAAGTAAACTATTTCTAGCTTCTGTGGGACCCATTCATCCTTGAACGGCCTAATTATACTTGGTTATATCTTTAAAGTTGCAGAATCAACTGGAAAATCACAGCATTGTCCTGGAAGATATTTACAAGTCAGTCATATTGTTGTACTTTATTTGCAGAGACAGCAATATGCACTTATGTAAAAACAGTTTCATTCTTTTGGTTCCAGCTCAAACACTAGAATCCGTTTGAAAATGCTGTCCCACAGGAAATGCAGGATGTGGCCGGTAGAAGCAATGTGACAGGCAAATAGGGTAACCTGAAGAGCATTCAGTAATGGTCTGTGTTCTCTGTCAGAATTATGACAATTCCAAAGACCAGAATGAAAGTACTTGGTGCAGAAAAGCTTTTCGCATAACTCATGCCTCAAGGAATGAGCCTTGATTGGTGAAGAAAATTGAGTCAACGGTAAATTCCATCAGATCTTACACTGACATTGATAACCCTGGAAAAATCCCGGAGGCATGGACACGCACACACCAGCATAACGCTGGTCATCCTGGCAGGCAACTAGATCTAGTTGCCAACTTTTTTATCTTTTTGGTTTGAAGCATGTGGATAATTATCTGGCTACCCTTTCCCTCTGTAGCCATAGCATTTGAATGGAAGAGACATGCCTGGTGTGTCAAAAAAAAAAAACCCACATGAAATTCAATGTTATTTATGACAGCAGTCCCCAACCTTTCTGGCACCAGGGACCCATTTCATAGAAGACAATTTTTCTACAGACAGGGAAGCAGGGGGATGGTTTCTGGATGAAACCGTTCCATCTCAGATCATCAGGCATTAGATTCTCATAAGGAGCGCAAAACCTAGATCCTTCACGTGCGCAGTTCACAATAGGGTTCACGCTCTTAGGGGAGTCTAATGCTGGGTCTGTTCTGACAGGAGGTGGAGCTCAGGCAGTGATGTGAGTGATGGGGAGCAGCTATAAATACACACGAAGCTGGCCAGGTGCAGTGGCTCACGCCTGTAATCCCAGTACTTTGGGAGGCCAAGTCGGGCAGATCACGAGGTCAGGAGTTTGAGACCTGCCTGGCCAACATGGTGAAACCCCATCTCTACTAAAAATAAAAAATTAGCCGGGTGTGGTGGCGGGCACCTGTAGTCCCAGCTACTCGGGAGGCTGAGACAGTATAACTGCTTGAACCCGGGAGGCGGAGGTTGCAGTGAGCCGAGATCGTGCCACTGCACTCCAGCCTGGGCAACAGAGCGAGACTCCATCTCAATAAACAACAACAACAACACGTGAAGCTTCACCTGCTCATCCGCCGCTCACCTCCTGCTGTGCAGCACACTTCCTCACACGCCACAGATGGGTACCAGTCTGTGGCCTGGGGTTTGGAGACCCCTGATTTATGGTAAGTTAGTGAACAATAATGCCACCTCCTCAGAGGCACTATATAGTTCTTAACAAAGGAATGAAGCGAAAGGTCAGGGAAAGAAAAGCAAAACTACTCTCGTGATTAAATTTCATACCTAAAAAGTCCACAAGAAGAAAAGTTTTCATTTCTCCCTAATCCATCCTTCAATCTTGAGTATCAACATTTTGAATAATTTCTGCTGAGCACTATATATCTGGGTTTGGCTGAAGTATAAACAAATCAGGAAGACCAAGTTTCCCAATTGCACTAGAATTTTAATACATGTCTGGTCACGTCTCTGACAATTCCTGGTTTTGCCTTGGGAATTACTAGGGGAAATGCCAAAGCTAAGTAAGTTCTACAAATCAACACAAAAGTGGCATACGTCATTCGCCCCAGGGCCATTAGTTTATGTAACCTTGTAAAACCGAGTTTGTAATACCTATAACGTAAGGGTAACAGTACCAACCTCTTTCATAACTGAAGAAGCCGCAAAGAAATACTCAGGATACAGAAACATATATACAGACGCACACATACATAAAATCAAACTTTTTTACTCAAAAAGCAGATTCTCCCAGACTAAACTCATTTCTAAACGGAGTTTCACTCTTGTTACCCAGGCCAGAGTGCAATGGCACGAACTTGGCTCACTGCAACCTCCGCCTCCCAGGTTCAAGCGATTCTCCCACCTTGGCCTCCCAAGTAGCGGGGATTACAGGCACCAGCCACCATGCCCGGGTAATTTCTGTATTTTTTTTAGTAGAGATGGGGTTTCACCATGTTGGTCAGGCTGGTCTGGAACTCCTGACCTCAGGTGATCCACTCGTCTCGGCCTCCCAAAGTGCTGGGATTACAGGTGTGAGCCACCGCGCCCGGCCTAAACTCATTTCTTGAATGTACTCCTATATCAGGGTATGGAGTCCTTGAAACTCATTTAATGAAATGTTTACTCTGTGCAGAGAATACTGGGTAGGTATCTAGGTTCAAAATATATTTCATATTTTAAGGATGTTATCATCTAAGACACAGGAAACTATATATGTGTGGTCTATAAAACCATATATAGCGTTACTAAGAATAAAACTTTGAGGGAAACAAAGACATGAAGGCCAGTTTCTACCAACCTTCCACTTTGACCAGGGAAACCAGGAGACTGCACATAGAGGCCTATTTGACTGTGTTCATCAACAGAAATGAACAGATTGCAAGATAAGCAAAACAGGCTCTAGAAAGAAGCAGCCAATGAACAGCTAATTTATAATTAAAAGGAAGAAAAGCAGCTGCACCTTGGGAGCTCGGAATTTAGTCACTACCAAGACCCAGGGCCACTGCTCAGAGACAAAAGGTAAACACGCTCATTGTAGTCAAGATGTATCGGAATCACAGACTTGGAATCTTAGAGCTGAAAGGGGCTTGAGAGCCCACCCAGACCTGCTCACGCTGTAGGAAGGCGGAAACTGAGGCTCAGGGAAATGAAATGGCTTGCCAAAGATTAAGGCTAGAAACGTCCAGCCAAGGGCTCTTTCACAACTCCTATCCCTGAAATATCCCATAACGGCCAGATAGGTCATGGGGTATTAACCAACAAAGAGATCCAGCATAACTGCTTCTTGAAATACAAATCACTCAGACTCCCAGGTTCCATCAGGAAATAGCAAAACATGAGAGGGAAAGGACTGGTAATGCCATGTTACCAGTCAGAGGTTCCATCAGAAAAGAACCACTAGGAATGATGTAGAAAGAGAGGATTGTGAAAGCGGTTTGAGCAATTAGAGGGGCTGGTGAAAGTCTCGGTTCGGCTGTTTCTTCTTCACCAGACCACAGGCCAGGCGGTTGGAAAGGATGGTGAGGGAGAGCAAGTACGACTGAGACCTGCAAGCCACAAGCTGGGACCTGCACCTGTCTCTCATCAGAGCCCGTGCTGGTCTCTCATCCCCAAACCTTCATCCTTGTGGCTGCAGACCAAGAAGCTGGTTCTCATACCCGGCCCAGGGTCTGGAAAAGCCAAAGGCAGAGTTCTGCGGGAGTGGGAGGAGCCGTGGGCCCAGCGGCTGCCCACACCACAAGTGCAGGAGATCCATGGTAACGTGCACGTGATGGAACAGGGCCTGACCTACATCCACTTCCAGTGAATACACATGGCTGTTGCTCTACTTCCACTTCCAAACCTCATGCAAATCTCTCTCGTGGCCAACCCTCACCAGAGAAACAAACAAGGAAGGGAATTCTGGGAACACAGTTCAGTTTAGCCAAGTTCACGACACTGCAGAAACCACAACATGCCATCAAAATATTAAACTAACTAGAATTCTTTCCGGGAGTATTGAATTTGCCTATTGTTCTTCTGCCATACTTCTCCGCTTCCACCCAGTAATAAGTAGCCTATCACCTACTCAGGACCCCAGTCTAAGTGAACCCCATGTTTTGTCTAACTTCTACTTTAGAAGTAGACACAGTTGGCTGGAGAGCTGGCTGACTGCGTGGTTTGTTTGTGCTGCACTAGGTCTGCCATCCTGCCCTGTGCCAGCCACTAACAGCTGCAGCAGTGGAAAGGCTCGGCCCTCGCAGGCTTGAACTGCCACCCACTCTGTGCTTTCATGTGTCACCTGTATTAAGTGCAGTGAGGATAATGGCACCTAAGCTATTTTTGTAGCTCTGTAAACAGCCCTTCATTCCTCGAAGCTACAAACATATCCCTGTGTTCAGAACCAGGTTCTGTATACTCCAGAAGAAAGACAATGATGGTGATGTCTTAAATATACCACTTTTTGTCAATCTAGGTGAAAGAAATATGAATATTCATTGTATTATTCTTTTGAATTTGAAAATGTAAAATTAATTAATTTTTTTTAATTAGCTGGATTTGGTGGCACACACCTGTAATCCCAGCTACTCAGGAGTCTGAGGCGTGAGGATCCCCGGAGCCCGGGAGTTTGAGGAGTCAGTGTGCTATGATTGCGCCACTGCACTCCAGCCTGAGCAACAGCACAAGACCCTGTCTCAAACCAAGATTAGAATCAGATCAAGTTTAGCCAAGATACATTAAATTAAGCGCATCAATTTTAATCTTGTGAATCTACTGAAGGCTCTTTCTGGTATCTGAAAACACACCTCCCGACGCTTGCAGGAACTTAGGGAACAGGGTACAGGCCTGCATGCCGTCCTGGCCCCAGCGACTCCCTTCAGCTCTGACTTTTAGTCTCAAGGTGTCTGCCTAGGTCTGCTCCTCACATTCCACTCTTTGCTTCTCCAGTCCTTGCTTCCATTAGAACACCTATGATGTGTAAAGTACGACACTAAGCACTTTTGTTGTTACTCAAATAACTTCCTTTCCTAAACTCCCAGAGAAATTCAGCAGCTTTTTGAGCTTTTTTCTTTTCAGAAATGAAGGCCTGAGGCTATACGGCCATATTTGTATCCCTGGCACAATATTGGACACATCAAATGGGTTCAAGAAATGTCTGTGGAATGAGACATCTCTGCAGTCAAAGAAAGCTAAACTATGTCTGCATCAAGGAAACCGGTTATCAGTGGAGATGAATCTGATGAGGGTGTGGAAAGGAAGGCTTCAGCTTCTGATGACGACTAAGGGACACCTAACCTGACAGTCAACAAAATGCCAGTGTTCCACCTGGGCAGGAAGACGCGCCCCAGATAAGGGCTTGGTGTGACGGAAACAGTCAGGGTAGAAACAGGAACAATACAGAGACCTAGATTCAATTAGTTTTTCAAGTTGACCACACATAAACCAGACAGCCTACTGAAAAGTTCATGAGGGCGTTGAGAACACAGAGCTTCGTAAAATATTTTCCCCTTGTCTCCATATTTTTATTCCGGTACCTGGACTGGACTATATACTCTCAATTAAAAAAAAAAAAAAACTAAATAAAAATAATTCTCAATGCAGAGTTCTTCAAAGAATTCCTAATAATTCACACGTTCCAGCTTCAGTTATCACCGAGAACTGGTTAGGTTCCTTCCACACCGGGAAACTGCATCAAGGAAAAGAGCTGGGCAAAGTCAGATTTTCATGCCAGCCGGACTCCTTCGCACCCACTTTCAGGGAGCCTCCCGCCAGCCTCCAGACCTGGTCAGATGATATGACCTTAGCTCCACACGTCCTCAGGGTGTCGGTGTCTGGGGCTCCCAGCCCCAGGCAGGCCGGGCAGCAGCTACAGCCTGAGCTCGCGGTCGGGCTTCATGCTGAAGGGCTCCAGCCGCTCGCCCTCGGGCAGCATGCTGTTGAGCCTGTCCAGCAGGGGCACAGTCTGGTCGATGCCCATCTGTATGCGGCGGAGGATGGCGGACATCTCGTTCACTTTCTGGATCTGCTCGGCATACTTGGCGTATCTTTTCTGGCGCTCCTGCATGAAGCTGAACAGAGTTTCTACAGACAGATCCATCTGTGGATGGGAAAGAGAAGTACATTATACCTTGTTTAATCAAGTCCTCTCCGCAGGGCCGGGTGTCCAGCCTGTGAGGGACACAGTCCCGCAGATCCAGTGGAAGCTGACAAGTTTTACAGGAAGCACCCAGGGCTAAAAAGCCCTTCAGGGACACAGCTTTATCAACTGTTGTGCCAGAACCACCTTTAGAAGAGAACTGAGAGGGGACTGTCCCTGGCTCTATGTTCTGGGAATGTGCGTTATTTGTACCTTGTTGAGATCCTGAGATTTCTATCTCCCTATATGAGGGGAATTCTGGATGTGGAAATCAGTCAGGCCAAGGCTGAATCTGGCTCTGTCACGTGTATGAGCTGCTAATGCTTATCCTTTGTGTCTCAGGTTGCTTATCTAGAAAAAAACTAGGAGCAGATGGGCGTGGTGGTGTGTGCGTGTAATCCCAGCTACTTGGGAGGCTGAGGTGGGAGGATGGCTTGAGTCCAGAAGGTCGAAGCTGCAGTGAGCCATGATCATGCCACTGCACTCCAGCCTGGGCGACACAGTGAGACCCTGTTTCTAACAACAATAACAAAAATCCCAAACCCCAAAATGCATGTTCTTCACTCAATCCTTCTCTTCCCTGGACGGCTGCAGTTTGGCGGACACTCGGGGAACACTGCAATGGAAGGGAGGCTCTCCCTGCCAGGGCCAAAAATGCAACCAAGGCTCCCGTCCTTACAACACACCACATTTGTCAAACTGTGAGGACTATCTCATGTGCCCTTCTCCCCCATTAAAGAAACTGCGGGCTCTGGGCTGCCCTTGCGTGACTTCTTCTCTTCCCCTTACAGAGGCTCTTTAGTACCCATCACCCAGATAAAAATAGAGAGAGAGACCGCCATCGTGTTGGGCACTTGCACCCCTTCCTCAGCATGGACCCCACTTCCACCCCCTCACCCCTTGTTTCTTTCCCAGGCCAGGAGAAAACAGCTCAACTACTGAGGCCCACACTCCTATCCCAAGGTTCCCAGGCTCCTCCAGCCCTTCCTTCTGGTTTATTCCTGGAGCACGCCCCTTCCCGACCTTGCATCAGGACAAGGGCTCAACACCCGGTACCAGAGAGCCTCTGAAAATGGCTTCGAGAGACACAAAAACAAACTCATGAAAACACGGGGGACCAAAGCCAGCCCCAAGAAAAAATAATTTCCCTTTTGCTATCATCTGTGGGGAGGGCAGGAGGGGCGGGAGGCGACCGAAGCACATCAGTGTTGCTGTCCTCTGGCGGGCCTCTTGCTTGAGTGCCTGCAGGGCAGGAGGAGCAGCTAGTTGGGCACGGGGAGAAGGAGAAGAGAAAAAAAAAAAAAACATGGGAGTGAGAAACTCCAAATAATGTGGAAACAATGCACACTTTCCGGGGTTCTCTGCAGCCCTGTCTGGCGCTCAGCACTTTGGAAGTAGTGAGCCAGGAGAGTCCTGTGGTCCTGACAGTCACCCGCTGGGCCTTTTCAGGGTGGCCTTGCAATGAGCACTGAGAAACACTCCACACACCTGAGAGACAGCGGGGCTCGTGGGAGCCAGGTGGAATCCTGAATTGGGAACCTTCTCGGGCATCACATTTTACTTGGCAGGGCATTCCTGGCCCTCCACCCCGCAACCCTACCAGACTAGATAGATGCTTGAAGAGTTTCTATCTGAAATGGCCTCCAAGGCTCTAACTTATCAAGTCTAAAGTCCTTGGCAGTCAATCCATCCCCGATTCACACCTGATGAAGACTGTTCACAGCCATCTTCACAGGTACTTGTCAAATGGCATGTACTTCCCTACATGTTTCCACATCCAGCTGGGGCCCGTGTTTAATGTCTCCAAAGCTTTTGTAAAGGCACTTTCTGTTAATGCTGAGATGAGCACACTGAGTTCAAACAGGTTGTTCATGCGTGCTGACATCATGTCTTACTTCCATTATGCTCCATGGAAGAAAAAAACCGCAAGAGGAAACTTGAGTTTGCGTGACTTTGAAGATCTCACAGTGACAGAACCTACACTGGACCCCAGCTCTCCGAAGTCCAGCAGCTCCCCTCTTTTACACATATTTCCTGAGCAAGACCCTGTATCACTGGTGCTTTATGAGACTTTTGTTGGCACGTGGCACTGCATTAAAGAAGACTAGATCACATGTAGGGAAAGTTATTACCTTTTAAATGTTTCCCCCATTCTTTGTTGCAAAGAAAGTCTCAACTTGGTGCAAGCAACAATGGACTATCTGGAAAAGGATGGTAAAACTGTTGATGCCTATTTTTGATGTCTCTGACCTTTGCTCTTGAGGTAACATTGTCCTTGATCCATAATCCCTACCTTTACTCCACGAACCCCCAGACACATGCTCATTGTAACACATTTGATGTGACTGTAGGCAGTAAACCAGTATCTCACACAATTCTGAATCACCATTTTGACAATCTAGGGATATATCCTTATTTGCCTTTCCTATTTCTATTTTTGGCACATGGATTCTAACAAGATAACATATATACTAATTGTCTTCTGGATAAGCAGAGGTGTTATGATATCACCTAGGGTTGCCTCACTGAGCACCCATAGCCATTCAAAAGACCCAGCTTGGCCAGGCGTGGTGGCTCATACCAGAACTTTGGGAGGCTGAGGAGGGCGGATTGCCTGAGCTCAGGAGTTCGAGACCAGCCTGGGCAACACGGCGAAACTCCGTCTCTATTAAAATACAAAAAATTAGCCGGGCGTGGCAGTGTGCGCCTATAGTCCCAACTACTTGGGAGGCTGAGGCAGGAGAATCGTTTGAACCCAGGAGGCAGAGGTTGCAGTGAGCCAAGATCGCACCACTGCACTCCAGCCTGGGTGACAGAGCGAGACTCCATCTCCAAAAATAAATAAAATAAAATAAATCCAGCTTCAGACAGGGCAATCTAACCATCCAAGCTGGAGCTAAAGGGCAACCACGAAGCTGTTTGTGAAATGGATAGTCACAATTTTTGTTCACCACACTCATCAATCCATTCATCTACCAATAAAACAACGGTTAAGATTGCAAGTTCAGGAGTCAGACCACCTAGGTTTAAGGGCTACCCTCGACCCAGTATCTATGTGATTTTAGAAAATTACCCAGAAGGCTGATTCCATGAGAGCAAGGATTTGGTGTGCTTTAAACCCTGCTATATCTCCAGTACCCAGCACATAGCAGGTCCTGAATAAATATTTGTTGAATAAATGAATGAAAATATACGTAAGCCTCGGTTTCCTCATCTGCAAGGTAGTGGGGATAACAAGAGTGGCCACTTAAAAGACTGTCCTGAGGATTAAATGAGATTCTGCAAGGAGAACATTATCATCCTGCCCAGCACACAGTGAGCACTGGGTAAGTGTGAGCTATTACCACACAGGCAACAGACAGTTATTGAGTAGCATCACGTGCCATGTGCCATGCACTATGCGAGGTCCTAGGATAGATATTGAGAACCAAAACTACTTACACCCACACAGCTTACCGTGTACATTAACATGAATTTTCTTTTCCACTGTTTCTGTTAACATGACTTTACTATTCCAGGAAACTCAGGCCCAGAAACATATAAATTGCAAATAACTTTGTTTCAGGAACTTAAGAAAAATTAAATGAATAAACTAGCTGATTTTCAAATAGAAAGTGAACAACTCTTTATTCTCCACAACTCTTGCCTCAAAACCCTCGCCTTGCCGTGACACATGACCAAGTTATAATCAGTGGTGTGTGCATGCAGAAGTCTCTCCTGGCAGCTTCCAGGCACCTTCCTGGAAAGGCAGCCGGCATGCACTCTTTGTTGCTTCTCTTCTTCACTGTCCCCTCCTCCACTCTGCTGCTGCTGAAATGCAGGTGCACCCCATGTAGACCATGAGAATAATGAAGGTTACATCTTTGAGTTGGCAGATCATGAGCTAGAAGCAGCCTGGGTCCATGAGGATGTTTATGTGTAAGAGGAGACCAGGCCTGAGAGAGATGAATAAACTTTCATTTTGTATAAGCCACCATCATTTGGGGTTTCTGTAACACTAGTTAATATAATCTTATACTGACAGATAGGAATGCTGGCCAGGTGCGGTGGTTCATGCTTGTCATCTCAGTACTTTGGGAGGCTGAGGTAGGAGGACCACTTGAGCCCAGGAACTCAAGAGCAGCCACGACGACACACTGAGTCCTCATCTCTACAAAAAATAAAATAAAAATTAGCCAGGTGTGATGGAACACACCTGTAGTCCCACCTGCTCCAGAGGCTGAGGTGAGAAAATTGCTTGCTCTCAGGAGGTCCAGGCTGCAGTGAGCTGTGATCACACCGCTACACTCCAGCCTGGAAAAAAAGAGCAAGGCCCTATCCCAGGGGGAAAAAAAAAAAAAAAAAAGAATGCAATAAAGCCTTTGTCTTCAAGGAACTCATCATTTACTCAAGCTCATACTTCAAACTTTGCCCTACAGATTCATATACCATCTCTGGGGCAGTCCATTTCAAAGGACAAGTGAAAAAGAAGGGGAGGTTATTTGAGCATAGAACTGCAGGCCTCACTAAGGTTATTAGGCATCTGTAGAATGTGCTCAAAGTTGTTCCAAATACCTTATATGGATGGTGCGGGCCCATCTGCCTACTTGGCTGGTCCACTCAGTACATGAACTCAAAATATTAACAAATAAAATCCAGAAATATACAAAAAGGATAATACATTATGACCAAGCAATGCTTATGTCAAGGAGACACACTTTTTCGACATCTGAAAAATCAATCAAAGTAACTTGCCATTTCAACAGAATAGAGGTTAGAAATCTATGATTGTCTCAATGGATATAAGAAAAAGCACTCAAAAAACTGAACATGCATTTATTATGGAAATTTTCAGCAAAGTAGGAACAGAAGGAAACTTCCTCAACCTGATAAAGTGCATCTATGAAAAACTTCCAGCTGACAATACAGTTATTGGTGAAAGACACTTTTCTCCCTAAGATTAGGAACAAGGCAAGCATGTCTACACTCTTACCACCTCTATTCAACATTGTACTATATGCAGTAGCCAATGCAATAAATTAAGTAAAAGGCAAAGAAATTAGAAAGGAATAAGCAAAAGGGTCTTTATCTGCAGATGACATGATAATACACTTAGAAAATCTTTAAAAATCTACTAAAAACTACTAAAGTGAAGTTAGCAAGGCTGCAAGATACATGGTCAGCATACAGAAATCAATTGTATTTCTACATAACAATGAATGACAGGACAGTGGAATAAAAGAATACTATTTACAACTGCGTCGGCAACATGAAATACTTAGGGAAAAATTCAGCAAAATATGTATAAGATCTGTACACTGATATTACAAAACATCGCTCTGAAAAACTAAAAGGGATCTCAAGAAATGAAGTATATCATGTTCATGGATTGTCAGATTCAACACGGTCAAGGTGCTGATGCTTGCCAAATTGATTAAGAGGTTCATTTGCAATCCAAGTAAAAAGTCTAGAAGGCATTGTTTTACAGGAATTGGTAAGCTGATTCTTAGTACACAGAATGGCCAAAATAATTGAAAGAACAAAGTTTGAAGACTTACAGTACTTGATTTCAGGACTTACTATAAAACTACAGTAATCAGGATAGTGTGGTGCTGGCATAGAGACACACAGATCCATAAAACAAAAGACAGTGTAAAAATGATCTAAAAATATATTGTTAATTGATTTTTTTATTGTTGTTACAAAGATCTCAAGGCAATTTAATGGGGGAAAAAAGTTTTTCAACAATTTGTGCTAGAATATCTAGATATCCACAAAGAGAAAGAATGAACCTGGAGCCTTACATCTCACAGTGCATACACAAGAAATTAATATGGAATGGATCACAGACCTAAATATGGAAGCTAAAACTATAAAACTTCTAGAAGAAAATATAGGAGAAAAATCTTTGCTACCTTGGCTGGACTCAGTGGCTCACGCCTGTAATCCCAGAGCTTTGGGAGGCTGAGACGGGTGGATCATCTGAGGTCAGCAGTTCGAGACGAGCCTGACCAACATGGTGAAATCCCGTCTCTACTAAATACAAAACATTAGCTGGAGGTGGTGGTGCATGCCTATAGTCCCAGCTACTTGGGAGGCTGAGGCAGGAGAATCACTTGAACCTGGAAGGTAGAGGTTGCAGTGAGCCGAGATTATGCCATTGCACTCCAGCCTGGGCAACAAGAGCAAAACCCTGTCTTTAAAAAAAAAAAAAATTGCTACCTTGGGGTATGCAAAGATTTCTAAGTTTCAAAAAGTGTTAACCATAAAATAAAAATGGTTAAATTGATTTTCATCAAAACTAAAAACTTCTCTTAAAAAGATACCATTAAGGCCGGGTGCGGTGGCTCATGCCTGTAATCCCAGAAGTTTGGGAGGCCAAGGCAGGTGGATCACCTGAGGTCAGGAGCTCGAGACCAGCCTGACCAACATGGAGAAACCCTGTCTCTACTAAAAATACAAAATTAGTCGGGCCTGGTGGCACATGCCTGCTAATCCCAGCTACTTGGGAGGCTAAGGCAGGAGACTATCTCTCTCTTTTTTTTAATTCTTTTTTGAGACGGAGTCTGGCTTTGTCACCCAGGCTAGAGTGCAGTGGCGCGATCTTGACTCACTGCAACCTCCACCTCCCAGGTTCAAGCAATTCTCCTGCCTCAGCCTCCCGAGTAGCTGGGATTACAGGCGTGTGCTACCATGCCCAGCTAATTTTTTGTACTTTTAGTAGAGATGGGGTTTCACCGTGTTAGCCAGGATAGTCTCAAGCTCCTGACCACATGATCCACCTGCCTCGGCCTCCCAAAGTGCTGGGATTACAAGCGTGAGCCACCGTGGCCAGCCAGGAGAATCTCTTGAACCCAAAAGGCAGAAGTTGCAGTGAGTCAAGATCGCACCACTGCCCTCCAGCCTGGGTGACGGAGCGAGACTGTCTCAAAAAAGAAAAAAAAAAAAAGGAAAGAAAAGAAAAGAAATAAAATGAAAAGGCAAGCAGCAGACTGAGAACATTTCATAATATTTTATTCCCTATGAAAATAATGGGCAAAAATAAACAAAGAAAGAAAAAATTTCACTATATATCAAATGACAGTCTTACATCCAGAATGAATATATCAATAACTCTTATAATTCAACATTAAGAAAAAATCCAAAATTTGGGATTGTTTCAGGAGAACTGAAAACATTACTGAATTATTGTTCTTGAGGGGGAAATATGGGCTAGAAATGGGTTAGAGGCTCAGGGAAAAGTCCTGCAGGAGATCACCTGGAAGTGGGATCTCACCTTCTTGGGACAAAGGAGCCAAGGAGGTGTTAAGAGTAAAACTATTAACAGTGTGAAGCTTGTGCCCTTGGGCACTGTTAAGCAAGATGGACTACAGATCAGGAAAACAAAACAAAACAAAACAAAACAAAAAACAGTAGGCAGATGTTACCCAGACAATTGTCACAACAGAACTCCTTTGCTAAAGCCCTGACACAGTGTGGAAAGAAAAAAATTCTGTTCAGTTTTCAAATTCCTCTAAGGACTCTGGAGACTTCTAGCTTATGACCACGGTTATCCCGAATCCTATCCTTTGTCTCTGGATAGTTACTGCTGCCAAATGAGGAGCGGCTATTCATGACACTGATGCCCACTGAGGCTGTACATCTAACCTCAGAGGGCCCTGTTTCAGGGAAGCAGCTGTCCTGCCTGAGCTGGAGTGGCAGAACAGAACTCAATTGCCTTCAGATCCACTGGCTTAAATTTGCAATGGTTCAAGATTGAGCCAGAGCTTTTACCTCCTCTGTGGGCAGACTACCCAGACCCTGCAAATGACCTGTTTAGACATCTGAAATCATTCCTGAGCTCAAGCTGAGTGACTCAGAGTTTGTGGGGAGGGGAGAGAGCTTCTATGGAGTGCAGTGGCGCGATCTCGGCTCACTGCAGGCTCTGCCCCCCGGGGTTCACGCCATTCTCCTGCCTCAGCCTCCCGCGTAGCTGGGACTACAGGCGCCCACCACCTCGCCCAGCTAATTTTTTGTATTTTTAGTAGAGATGGGGTTTCACCGTGTTAGCCAGGATGGTCTCGATCTCCTGACCTCGTGATCCGCCCGCCTCGGCCTCCCAAAGTGCTGGGATTACCGGCGTGAGCCACCGCGCCCGGCCAAACATTCCAGTTTTCTAACTAAAATATACATACATCGCTTATGGATAACGACAGTAGCATCAGACAGAACTGAGTCAAAATCTTGCTTCTGCAGATGACTGATTACCTTCATGACCTTAAGCCAGTTACTTAACCTTGCTGACCCTCAGCTGCTCTGTCCCCTAAAATTGGTGAAATTGACAATGCCTACGTCATAGGGTTGACGTGAGAATTAAATGAGATAAAATGTATAAAACTCCTAGAACAGTTCCCAGGAAAAAGGAGCTCCATAAGTGATAAAATATATGTGAACTGAAACAGAAACTCTGTCTAGAAACCTCTTTTACATGAAGAATGAAAAAGCAAGATAAGAAATGTAGTACATGAAAGCAGAATAAAAAACCGAATGACATTTTGTGATATCCAAATAGACACAACATATCTATTGTGAAGGCAGGAGCTTATGTGGACGCCTCATCTCGGTTACATTAACTATCTTCAAGGCTTACACAATCACTCAGATGACAACTTACCATTGTGTTTTTTGCTGACATGTTTTATTTTTGTTCTGTACTTCTGCTACTGAAAATCTTACAGCAGAGTCACATTACTCATCCCACAGTTTCCTGATAGAATCATTTCGCACTACGTAATAACTGAAATCATTATTTACCTACAAGTCCTTCCATGTGTTTTTAATCTATATGTTTAGCCATGAGAATAACTATTACCACTGTTTGATGCTATCCAATATGGTAAAAATAAAAATACATAGGCGTACATGCGTACATGTATATTTTTCAAAAAATATTTTGAAAGCAAAACCAAAAGCTTTAATAAATGATATCCTCTCCAACAAGAGAGTACGGTGCTTCAAAAACTTTTGTTATATAAATTTTCCTCATAAAATAAGCTTTGATGCTGGTTTGAGGCAGATGGGTCATCCTATGAAAGATGTCACTGTGGTTTGTTATTTGGAGACAGGGTCTCGCTCTGTTGCCCAGGCTGGAGTACAGTGGCCTGATCATAGCTCACGGGAGCCTTGAACTCCTGGGTCCGAGCAATCCTCCCATCTCAGCTTCCTGAGTAGCTGAGACTACAGGCACATGCCACCATGCCTGGCTAATTTTTATTTTTTGTGGAGATGGGGTCTCAAGATGATGCCCTGGCTGATCTCCAAACTCCTGGCCCAAGCCATCCACCCGCTCAGCCTCCCAAAGTGTTGGGATTACAGGCATGATCTACCACACCTGGCCTCACTATGCTTGATGTAGTTCTTTTCAAAGTAAAGGTAAATTTTCCAAATTAGTGACATACTACAAGGGCTTATTTTAAGTTAGAAAAGATGTGCAACATAACAGTAAGAACTTCATAAAGATAGTGTACAACTTTTAAATTCTAAAAACTTAAGATGTAGATATGCATGAAATGATCAAAAGCAAATTTAATAACCCTCATGGTCAAAAGAAAAATGAGTAGGTAAGCTGTGTTTCACAGTTAACAAAATTCACATCCATATGATCAATAGACTTATTTTTCTATCCCCAAAATACTTAAGTTTAAAAGAAATGTTAAAAACAAAAAAGACTGCATATGGACTTAATCAAGACTGCTTTTTTTTTTTTTTTTAAGACCGAGTCTCACTCTGTTGCCCATGCTGCAGTGCAGTGCCACAATCTCAGCTCATTGCAACCTCCACCTCCTGGGTTGAAGCAATTCTCCTGCCTCAGCCTCCCAAGTAGCTGGGATTACAGGTGTGTGCCACCACGCCTGGCTAATTTTTATATTTTTAGTAGAGACAGCGTTTCACCATGTAGGCCAGGTGGTCTCGAACTCCTAACCTCAGGTGATCTGCCCTCCTCGTCCTTCCAAAGTACTGGGATTACAGACGTAAGCCACTGTGCCCAGCTCAAGACGGCATTTAAAAAGTCACTCATCTTTCCCACCCTTTAAAGGTAATGTTTAGCTTTTAATGTGGTGTCTGTCAGTTAATGTTAGTCTCAAGGTCAATTTTTATTTGATCTCAATAGATATCTCACTTTCTCTGCACTCGTTCTACATTTAAATTCCTGTTCCCCAAGGATGTCAGTTTAGGAATATGGAGGCTGGGAGGAGGAGGCATGATGGATGGTTCAAGGTCAGCTAACCAAAGGCTGCCTCTTTTTAGGGTTCTAAATCCATTCCCAGCTTTGTTCTTTCTTTGGGTGGATTTCCTTCTGGGTTCAAAATGTAATGAGCAGGCAGTGATATGTAATTCTGCTCTTTTATTGTAAGTACTTTGTAGCTAAAGAGGCTAAATGGAAAAGTAACAATTCATCCTGTTTTACAGCTATTCAAATAATACATTCTGAAGTCAGTAACAATCTGTTATTTGAAGATGGGCATATTGCTGATTTTTAGCAATGTAAGCTCACCCTTCAAATCCCTGACATCACTAATAATTCATTACCATTAACAAAGTAAGTCAGAAGGCCTGAATTTAAATTCTACTAGTTGGTGAACTTGGGCAAATCACAAGCTGACTCTCAGCTTCTACTTTTTAAAAGTGGGGATAATAATGGCTAATATTCATCCTACCTCACGGCAGTGTTGTAATGGTTATAATGAGATAATATATGTAGGATGATCTGAAAACAGAACACTGCTATAAACATGTATGTTTATATTATTCTAACAATGAATGGCAAAGTATGCTTGGAAGTTCTGTTTTTCATGGTAGTAAAACTAAAAAGTTCCCAAATCATAATCACATTAAAAGAAAACTGCTACATATTTTATATAAAGCTTCAATATCCACCCTTCTCAGATGTTTCTGAAATTCAGAACTACCAATTCTCCCAATTAGGAAGCAGTCAGCCTAACTATATAAATCAGTACTGTCCCTAGGGCAAAATCTGGCCTTGGAATTATAACTGAAGCCATTTATCCAAAGAAGATATACAAATGGCCAGTAAACACAGGAAAAGATGTTCAACATCACTGGACATTAGAAAAGTGCAATCAAAAGCAGAAAGAATACAACTTCACACCCACTGGGATGGCTCAAATTAAAAGGCAGACAATGACAAATGTTAGTGAGGGTGTGAAGAAACTGGAACCCCTGTGCATTGCTGGTAAGCATGTAAAATGGGACAGTCATTTTGAAGAGCAGTTTGGCCGTTTCTCAAAAAGTTAAACATAAAGTTACTATACAGCCAGCAATTTCACTTCACATGTATTCCCAAGAGAAGTAAATTATATGTTCACCCAAAACCTTGTACACAAATGTTTATAGCAGCATTATTCATAATAGGCAAAAAGTAGACACAACCCAAATATCCATCCACTGAAAAATGGATAAACAAAATGTGGTCTATTCATAGAATAAAATATTGTTCATCCATAAAAAGATATGAGATACTGATATAAGCTACAACATGGATAAACCTTGAAAACATTATGCTAAGTAAAAGAAACCAGACACAAGGGCCACATATCACATGATTCCCTTTATATGAAATACCCCCAACAGGCAAGTCCAGAGAGACAGAAAGGAGACTGGTAGTTGCCAGGGGATAGGGGAATAGAGGTATGGGGAGTGACTGCTGATGTACATAGAGTTTCATTCTAGGCAGATGAAAATGTTCTGGAATTACATAGTGGTGTAGCTGCACAATCTTGCAAGAATACTAAAACCACTGAAATGCACACTGTAAAAGGGTGAACTACGTGAATGATAACTCAGTTTTAAAAAATAATAAAATAAGTGTATTCAAATACATTCAATTCCTTCTCCCAGACCCCCGACAGATACCAGTAATGCATCATGGTTATTCTTTAAATCTGACTTGGACTCAGAACCCTTCCTGACACTGAACCCCAGATGGCCACTTTCGAGTTTACGAAGATGAAGAAACCTATTTGGGAATCCAGGACTAGGCACTATGAAAGTGGCTCTAAAACAAATTGTTGAGGCTAAGTAAAACATTTTTAATCCTAAAGGAAGGTGGTAGCTGAGTCTGCAAGAGGAACAGTCCAAGGTAAAAAGCTGTGTTCATAAGATCCTGGATCTTTACATTAGCCATACCATGCATCGACTAACCCCAAAAGGAAGCGTGAGATGCCAGTTCTCAGCAATTTCCTTGAACCTTTAAGCCTGCTTATTTTTAAATGGACTCATACTGACAGCATTCATTTTTTAAAAAATAAAAACTATATATTTACAGCACACATGTTTTGACATACATATACATAGTGAAATGATTTCTATAGTCATGCTAATTAAAATATCCACCTCCTCACATACTTACCATTTTTTGCTTCTGACACCTTCTTCAAGACCTTTCTTCCAGTTTGCAAACCCGGTGCTTGTGTTTTTATACATCGGCTATCCCGATTTGGTCTTTGACTCATGGTATTAGCTGTCTCCACTCCGAAGAGTAGGAGGCCCATTGCCACAAATCAAGATATGGCACGTTCTAGCCCACCTGCCACCTCTATCCCCACCAGACCATGGCTACTTGACCTGCAGTAGAGATTCAGACAGATTATAAAGGTTAGGGTATGACAGGCTGCAACAAAACCTTTCAGGGTCAACTATGTGCTTTCTGGCTGTCCGACCCTCTCCAGATCACCACTCCCATGGAGGGTTTGGGAGTATGAATCTTTCCTGGACGCCTCTCTCTAGCACAATGGACAACAATGGGCAAATGTTTTCCTTAATTACGCCACAGGCTGAATGGCACCAATTACCACATTCTGGACACTTTGAAGTGACCTTGTTTCTGAAGACAGTAGTTTGCAATGGCAGCCTGTAAGAATAAACTCTTGCCGGCGTGCGGGAGGGAGTGGGTGGGGAAGGATCGCCGGCAAGATCACGAGGCGAGGCTTGCGCGCCGGCCCGCACCCTGGCCCCCAGTGCCTACCCGGTGGGCCCGACCCAGCCACGATCAAGGCGATCCTAATCTTAACAATCATGGGAAACCGCGGCTCTCCAAGTTCTACCAGCCCTATGGATTTGTGGAAACATTAGACAAATGTTTTGAAAATGTTTGTGAACTGGATTTGATTTTCCATGTAGACACGGTTCACAATATTCTTGCAGAAATGATGATGGGGGAATGGTATTGGAGACAAACATGAATGGGATTGTTACACAAATTGGTGCACAAAATAAGCTGGAAAAATCTGAGGCTGGCTGAGGGGGAGCTTCAGCCTGTGCTGAACCTGTATCAGCTGTAAAAAATGTGAATCTTCCTGAGATCCCAAGAAATATTAACATTGGTGACATTACTATAAAGTGCCAAACCTGCCCTCTTTTAAATAAAAATTTAAAAAGGCTACTCCCAGGTAAAATCCAGGGGGGAAAGTCACGTAAGTTTACCAAAAATAGAGGAGGACAGTCAAGTTTTGCTCTTGGATTTAAGTCAAGGTACTGTATAAAAGCTGTGTAAAATCAATATGAAAGTTCAATGCTGCTTTCCTTTTTTTTTTTTTTTTAATTTTTTTTTTTGAGAAAGAGTCTCGCTCTGTCGCCAGGCTGGAGTGCAGTGGTGCGATCTCGGCTCACTGCAAGCTCCGCCTCCTGGGTTCACGCCATTCTCCTGCCTCAGCCTCCTGAGTAGCTGGGACTACAGGCGAGCGCCACCACGCCCAGCTAATTTTTGTACTTTTAGTACAAAAAAAGTACTTTTAGTATTTTTAGTACAAAAATTAGACGGGGTTTCACCATGTTGGCCAGAATGGTCTTGATCTCTTGACCTCGTGATCCGCCCGCCTCGGCCTCCCAAAGTGCTGGGATTAGAGGCGTGAGCCACTGCGCCCAGCCAGTTCAATGTTGCTTTTCTTGCTCAGTGATTTTAAGGAAATTGAGTAGTTCCTATGTGATTTATTTATTTTTCTAAACTGCATTCCTGTGCCTACCTACGGCATGCCTCTATGTATTGGCTACTACAGTGTTTTAAAAAGTGTTTGAGATATTTCTTTAATTATGTACAACCTAAAGTGTTGGTGTTTTGTATGGATCACAAGTGCGGCATTCCTTAATTCCTTCTGCTGTTTGTCACACAATTGTTAAAGAACCAGATATGTATCGCATGAAAACATTATGACGTTTTTCTCTTAGTTTAAATAAACTCCAAGGTAACTGGACTTCTAAAGCACCTTTCTGTTTGCCTGATACCTACTTTAGCAATAATTTTTTTTACAACCCTCTGACTCAACAAAGTAAAGTATATTTTATCACTGTTAAAAAAAAAAAAAAGAATAAATTCTTGCCATGTATTCTCATAGGCGTACCTTTGATCTGTCAACCAGAAAAGAGAAATCCCTCTCTGGTAAATCTCACTCCACACACTCTAACAGAAACAAAACTGGCATCCATACTGGAGGACTATTTCTTTTGGTAATCAATGCACATCATATTAGAATGATTTGGTAGATAGAACCCAGTATATAATATACACAAATTCTCTAGTTATTTTAATTATTGTAATAAAATAATGTATAACAGTTACAGCTGCTATCCATTAAGTATCTACTAACTGTCAGATACTGTACTGTGCAGTTTACATACATTATCTTTATACCTCACCACACTCTCATAGGGAAAGTGTCCCTCTCCTATTAGAGATGAGAAATTAGAGATTCAGAGATGAGAAAAGGTGCCCAGGGTCACACAGCTCGTACTAGCAGTGAAGCCAGAATTCAAACCCATGCTTTTCGGCTCCATTTTTGCCTATTTTTTCTAAAGAGCTAATTAATTCAAAAGTCAGCTCATTTCAATTAAATACATACCATGTTGAGCAGTGTGTTTAATGCCTTTTTGAAATCCTTAAGAGATGAATTTAAATGGCAATTTGTTATGCTGTCAAGCGGAATGGAAAAACACTTTGGTGTTTACTTTTCTAATAAAAAAAATAATAAATTACCAGACAAAACATGGACAATTACAAAACAAAAACTGAGAGGAGACCAAAGGGAATAAACTGTTAGCAGATAAACTTAAATGACATTTTCACTGGCAGTTCGTCTGTACATTTTGTACTCTTGACATCTCACTTGTACAAACATTTCACAATTCTTGACCTCACCAAGGGGGCTTAGACAAAGCAATCTTCATCTGTAAAAGGAAGGAGGTGCAAGGGTCCTGAGCAACCCCCTCCTTTTACAGATGAAGGCTGCTCCCAGAGTGGGCAAGCACTATCCCTAAGCTCACACAGCTGGGACTGATGGGGCCAGGACAGAACTCCAGATCTCCTGATTCCAAGGGCCACCACACCTGTCCTAAGCGACCAAAGTCTACCAATGACATTTCCTTTTCCATAGTTTGTTCTACTATGCTTTACCCAATGAATTATAACTGTGTGTGAAAACTATGATCTAAAGTGAAGCTTTTCAAGACAATTATTTCTGACCATAAGGGAAATAAAAATCTATCATTAATCAGTGTCAAAAATCAAATGACAAAATCCAATCAGACATCTCCACGTCCATCAGGAATAGGAACCTGCTCGGTGAGCCTGGATCTGCAGTGAGAAGGGCATCAGTCAAAACTGCACACGTCTGCTTCCTTCTGAATTACGTAAACCTTCCCCGGCTCCTTATTAGTGTACCACCTCCTGTTGCACAATGACAAACAATGAGGCCGACTGTCGCCAATGTTTTCATTAATTACACCACAGGCTGAACGGCATCGATTTCCACATACTGGACATTTTGAAGTCACCCTGTTTCCTTTGTTCAAACAATGTATCTAAATGTCTCAGAAAAAGAACACATTTTATTCAGGTCTTCAAAAGAATTAAGCGATATCAGAACGGCAGGAATTTGAATTGTATGACTGTTCCAATAATTACTTTACGACTTGCCCAGTTTCCCCGATGCCTTCTTACCCTTGGCATCACGTCTAGGTGGGAAAGTGGGACAGAAATCCTAAAACCTTTAAGCAGCTTCCAAAACTAAACAGGCAGATTATACCTCCTCCCCACAAAAGGCCTTGCAAATGGCATTGATGGCAGCAAACCAGGAAAAGAAAAACATCACAAGTAAAAATAAAAGCCTGAGGGACAGAAGTCCCACTCCTCCCGTTCCTTGGGAGAGCTTTCCTCGGGTCCCATGAAAGACAGCGGTGTAGGGCACGTAGACATCTGAGATCTTTTGCCTCCTGGAAAAGGCCCCGTCTGTAACCAAGCA
Organism: Homo sapiens; assembly: GCF_000001405.40. Lineage (NCBI taxonomy): Eukaryota > Metazoa > Chordata > Mammalia > Primates > Hominidae > Homo > Homo sapiens. The sequence continues at coordinate 418,238 of NW_011332696.1, read as the reverse complement.
CCCCAGCCCTTTCTGACTAATTCGAGGCTCCCTCTCTGCAACCCCTCCAGAGTGGCAGTGGGGAAGGATGAAGCTCCTAGGCATGAGTCCACTCTCTGTCTACCTTCTGTACCACCACAGTCCTCTGAGACACTGTTAAAAAGCCCCATTCTCCAAAGCACGGTTGGAAGTATAAAGAAGTTACCTGCAAGGTAGGCGGAGTTGCCACTTCAAGAACGTAAATGTGGGGTCTTCAGGGCTATTTTAAAGTGTGGTTGCATCCTATAAAGACTGCTTTTGAGATGCTAAGTATACTGTGACACTATGCAGCGAGTATTATAAAGGAATACAGGGTAAGGGAACATGCTTGAACATTGGGCATGAGCAGGAGACAGGATGAAAGAATAAGACCTTAAAGAATTGAAGACACGGCCAGGCACAGTGGCTCACGCCTGTAATCCCAGCACTTTGGGAGTCTGAGGCGGGAGGATCACTAGGTCAGGAGTTTGAGACCAGCCTGGCCAACATGGTGAAACTCTGTCTCTACTAAAAATACAAAAATTAGCCAGGCATGATGGCAGGCGCCTATAATCCCAGCTACTCGGGAGGCTGAGGCAGGAGAATCGCTTGAAACCAGAAGGCAAAGGCTGCAGTTAGCCGAGATCGCCACTGCATTCCAGCATGGGCGAAAGAGCGAAAATCTGTCAAAAAAAAGAAAAAAAAAAAAAAGAATTGAAGACAAGGTCAGGCACGGTGACTCACGCCTGTAATCCCAGTACCTTGGGAGGCCAAGGCGGGCAGATCAACTGAGGTCAGGAGTTCGAGACCAGCTGGCCAACATTGTTAAAACTCATCTCTACTAAAAATACAAAAATTAGCCGGGTGTGGTGGCAGGCACCTGTAATCCCAGCTACTTGGGAAGCTGAGACAGGAGAATCCGTTGAACCCGGGAGGCAGGAGTTGCAGTGAGCCGAGATTGCACCACTGCACTCCAGCCTGGGCCACAAAGAGCAAAACTCCATCTCAAAAAATAAATAAATAAATAAAAATAAAAGAATTGAAGACAATGGACAAAGAGGTGGAAAGGAAGCGCGGCTTTAGAGTTTCGAAGGTGGACGTTAGCTCTGAGCCTGCATCCCAGCTCCACTTCGACAACTGTGTAACCGGGAACACATTCAGGTCTCTGAATCTCAGCTGATCGTGAAATATAGCTGATATATGCAAAATGCCTATTCTAGACCTGGCACATGGTAAACATGTAAAAACGACAGCTGCAACATTATTGCTGCTGTCACTACCACATCAGGTGAGGGGCTGGAGAAGCCTCCACAGATGCAGCAGGTGGATAGTGAAGGAAAGGCTCCAAGCCACGCCACTAACCTGGACTCCCTTTTCCGATGTCCAGAATTAAAGAGAGGTAAAAGTAAGTTTGTGTGACCAAAGTGACACACTTAACATCTTAAAACCTCAGCTAAGGTAATGAAACAATAGAAAACTGGACTATGTGCTCTGTAATTCCCTCGTGTATGCACCCAAACCATGTGTGAACACAACCCCTTTTTGACTCAGAGAACAGAGCTTAGCAGTGGTGCGTGGGTAAATATTTTACAGCTAAAATCCTCCACCCCGTGCCTGAAGAAAGAACCAAGATACCGCACATGGGACAATGATGATATTGGTCTAATGATTTGGTATACTGCCACTGGGGCTGCCTTGTGCTCCCGGGCAGGATGATAGATGGCTGCTCGGGACATCAGGCTGGAGCCTGATCTAGAGTCCAGAGGCCCATGTCATTCCTCATGCAGATGGCTGAGGCACCGACTCAACTTTACCACATAAACGGTTCCAGCAAACACTTCCTGTGCACCAGGGAGGCATAAGGAAGGAGGTCCCTTGTGATCAAGGGAAACCGGGACCTCTGCATGTGCCAGGATGTTGGCGGTTGCTGATGGGAGAGCAGGATTCCTCAGGCAGAGAAGGGGAGCAGACACCAGCAGGAGGGGGCACAGCAGAAGTCAGGGAGCAGGAGTGGAGGCTGGACATTTCAGGCTAGAGCCATGTGAATTTCACGGATTTTGCAGAATACAACTATGACTATTACAATATCTGATGGAGAGGCAGGTGAGTGACAGACTCCAGAGAATCTAAGTCTCAGCAAGGGCAAAGAGAGAATTCGTAAACTTCCAGGTAGAAAGGGGAAGAGAGGAGGCTGGGGGACTTTGGGATACAGGAAGAAACCATCACTGTAATGATGCTGTATTACGCCACTAATGCTCATACTTCTACAGAATAACATTTTGCAATCCCTCCTTGTCTGGCTGCATTTGATATAAATGACTCTTACACCCCCAAAATAATCCTTTCTTTTACATAGCTCCGTATGGTCCTGCAGAGTCCTTCCACATTCATTATGCCTTTTGCTCTGGGCTGCAGGTTGGCTGTCATGGGCAGTTTCCAGCAATGGTGTGAAAGGACCTTAGACAAGTGAAATGCTCTCTACTCATGTGTAAATGAAAACTATGGAGGATCGCCAGGACGTCAACTAAAGTCTTATAATACTATAGTCAGTCTGTCAACGTGGGCAGAAGAAAATTAAATGCTGCTTCAAGCTTTAGGGACACCTCCTGATGAAATCCTTTGGGAGTCCCTGAGATCTAAAACAATTCAGATGTTTTTAAAAGGAGTATAGATCTGCAAGTCTCCTACCAACTAACAACAGAGATAGCAAATAAGACTCTAGTTCAGAACATTCAGATAAACACGACAGTGAGCAGGGTGATAGTAAAGAACAGAATCTTGGGATTTGGGGTTGCCATTGGTCAAATAACCTGATAAATTTCAGATCTAGACAGAGTTATAAAGAAGAGTCTCCTGGCTAGCTCTGTACTGACCAGCAGGTCTTTATATTAAAAGTTCCTTTCTGGGAAGGCCTTCTGTGTCACCCCATGTAAAATTTCTACCCTACTGACATTTTATATCCCCTTACTTTTTTTTTTTATTCTTGTATTTACCATCTTACATGCCATCTATCTTATTTTTTTACCGTGTTTATTGTCTGTGTCCACAATGGAATGTAAGGTCTCTGAAGGAGGGATTCTTGTCTGTTTTGTAGTGATATTTCCTCGACACCTACAACAGGGCCTGACACAGAGCTGACTAGTTCATAAATGAAGCAGACATGTAAAGGCATGTGCGTAAAAAGTTCTCAGAGGCATATTCCTATCCTGGTGAGTCAAAAAGCTGCAGGCAGGGAGATGGAACTCTTATGAGATTCACATACTGTGAGAAAACAAAACAAAACAAAACAAAACAGAAGCTAGGTATGGTGGCTCATGCCTGTAATCCTGGCATTTGGGAGGCCATTGTGGGAGGACTGCTTGAGGCCAGGAGTTCAAGGTCAGTCTGGGAAACCTAGCGAGACCCTGTCTCTACAAAAAAAAAAAAAAAAAATTAAAGTCAGCTGGGCATAGTGTCACGCACCTGTAATCCTAGCTACTGGGGAGGCTGGGGCAGGAGGATCACTTGAGCCTAGGAGTTTGAGGCTGGAGTGAGCTATGATTGTGCCACTGCACTCTGGCCTAAGTGACAGAACAAGACACTCTCTGTAAAAAAATTAAATTAAAAAATAAAAGAGCAAGTACCAGGCCCTACTCCAGACCCACTGGCTCAGAATCTCTGAAGATGGAGCCTACCCATCAGTTTAAAAAAAAAAAAAAAAAAAAAAAAAGGTATTTCAAATTGAAAAAAAAAAAAAAAAAAAGCAATGCATGTTCAAGATAGAAATCTTGTAAAATACAGAAAAACAGAAGCAGGCTAAAACAAAATACCACTGATAATCTCATCTCTAAAGGGCAACCACAATTAAGTCACTGTCATGTTACCTTCTGTCTAATCATTTATTAAGAATATTTAACATAGGCAGGCACGATGACTCGCACCTGTAATCCCAGCACTTTGGGGAGGTGGGTAGGAGGATTGCTTGAGGCCAGGAGTTCAAGACCAGCCTGGGCAATATGGCAAGACACTGTCTCTACAAAAAAATTTAAAAATTAGCCAGGTAGGTGGCACACCTGTAGTCCTGGTTACTTGAGAGGCTGAAGTGGGAGGATCACTTGAGCCCAGGAGTTTGAGGCTACCGGAAGCTATGATTGTGGTATTGCACTCCAGCCTGGGCAACAGAAGGAGACCAGGGAGACCCTGTCTCTAAAACAAGATTGTTCGGCCGTGGGCTGCATGCAGTCCAGGACAGCTTTGAGTGTGGCCTAATATAAATTTGTAAGCTTTCTTAAAATATTATGAGTTTTTTTTGTTGTTGTTGTTTTTAAGCTCATTAGCTATCCTCAGCATTAATATGTTTATGTGTGGCCCAAGACAATTCTTCCAATGTGGCTGGGAAGCCAAAATATTGGACAACCCTGCTCTAAAATAAACAAACAGAATATTTAACACAGTTGAAATCATATTGAATATAAACTATTATAGCTTGATTTTTTTTTAACTTATTGTTAGATCTGTTCCTAATGTCACTTGGTTTTCATTGGCAGGAGGACTTAAACCAAGCAAAATTTACCATGGAACCTTGCATCAGGCCTTCTGAATCTCAAAGCTGGGCTGCAGATGCATTTTAGGAATCTAAGTTCGAAGATGACACAGATGTTCAAAATTTAGTGTACCCCTGGGCACACAATAGACTGTATTTCCCAGCCTCTTTGGAGTTAGCTGTGGCCATGTAATTGAGTTCTAGCCGAAGTCATAGGCAACACTCATAGGTTTGGCCCGTAAGAACCTCCTAACTGTGCTAGTCCACTCTTTTTTCCCTTTTGCCACTGGACACTATCAGCAAGGTGGTCTTTGGGGACGGCAGAGCCACAAGATAGAAGGAAACTGAGTCCCTGAACTCAATGGAGGAGAGTCACCTGCTAACCAGAAACACCCACCTTGAACAAGAGCAACAAATAAACTTCTGTTGCATTTGATCCATTACACATCTTTGAGTCTACTTACAGCTGTAGCCTAGCTTACTCTACCTAATGCAACCCTCATAACCTTTATTTTCTCTGATAGAATGAGAAAACTTATCAGTCCCTAGGATGAGATAATTGAAGAATATAAAGTTGTTCATTAAACAAGTATTTATTCAACATCTACTACATGCCAGGCATTGTTCTAGGCACTGCAGCAATGTTCAATTTGCTAAAATTCTTGTTTCTCTTCATTGGAAGTGATACAGGACAGGGAATATCTTTTCCCAGCCCTGGTTTCATTTCCATAACCCAGGAGCCCTCAATACTGGCTAGTTGGCTTAGAGACTACAGGTGCTCTGGGGTTCCTCACAAGAGAGGAGGCTGCATGGGACCTCTGACACTGCCCGCTCTGGTGGACTGGAAATGAGCAGGGGAGGGAGAAGAACAGGGGCTCTAGAACCTGGCACTGGGAAAGCTGGCAGAGCCAGCTGTCTGAGGGCATGTCTAGGGCAGGCAAACTGGGGGGAAATGGGGCTGCTGTTCACACATGCTCATATGTCATTGTCCAAAAGCGGAATGGAGTTAAATCTCAGAGCAGTCAAATAACCGGGCTCTGCTCATGCCTTGCCAAAAAACACAAGCCTACATTTCCAACAGGCAAGTAATAAACTAGATTCGGCCCTCTTCCAGGATTTCTGGCTTTTGGCAGGACAGTGCTGGTGCAAAGGAAGTGTGGGGCCAGGCCCAAGGAAGCCCTGTGCAGCATACCTTACAGTCCGCCGAACCAGAAGCAGCCCACTCCCCCACCTGGATTTCCTGCCACCCAGGGGACCAGTTGTATTTCTTACAGAAAAGAAAGGTTGCCCAAAGGACAAGAAGGGGGGAAACTATAATTACACTGTAAGGTTTCAACCTGGAATTGATGCCAGAGTAACTTGTGACATTCTATGGGAACATAAAATTTTCTTGAAATGTCTTGCCTCAGGATTTCAGCAAAAAGAAGCCGACATCTCAATGTTCTTGTCAAAATTTGCAGCTTTGCAATAGGTACTCCCAACTCATTTTATAATTTCAGGTCAAGAAAGAAGCAACTGAAGCCAAAATATATTTAAAAGCGGCCACAGGACTCTAACAATGTTGTCATTTAAAGGAGATTCGGTTCACAGTGTCAGGGCGATAGCAACAGTTTCACCTGGCCAACAGCTCACGCTAACCAGGCTTTTAACCAAAGGAGCTCAAAGTGAATGCTAATGCCAGTTCAGACAGTGATGCTCTGTGCAACACTCGGAACTACTCATTTAATCTGGATCAGTCTCTCTCCCTGGGAGGACACACAGTACAGGAAGTCAGGTCAAATACTTGGAAAATGACTCCAGCTGGGTCTTAAACATTACGGTACCGATGACAGAAAGAAATCCCTGCCCAGCCCTGTGTGCAGGCCCATGAATGGCAACTCTCGTGCATTCCTTCAAACACCAGTTGAGGACCTACCATGTAAAAAAAGGAATAACCAAAAATGAAATGAAGGACTCCAAAGAGGCAGAACATAAGTAGTATGGTGCAGTGGAAAAGATGACTCACCTTCTAATACCATCTTAGTCATTATCTAATGGAAAGATACCCAGCAAATCCCATATACACTCGAAGATCCTTGGTTTCTTTATTTGCACAATGAAAGGGCTAAATTAGAGAAACCTTAGGGCCTCTTCATAATCCTGTGTAATCATATGGCTTTCCAAGGATTGCAAGTTTTTCTTACCAGTTCATCTGAACCCCCTCCATGCTTCATACTGGTTTATGTCAATACACTATGCTTATCAACACATCTAAGAATTAAAACAGGAGTTACTAGAATCATATCATGAATGTACTCTCAAGGCCTTCAAGCAAGCACACAGGAACTGTAACAAAATAAAGCTTGTGGCTTTATCTTAGTTACAAAGGCGTTCTAATCTATGACACATTTACCCACTGACAGCAACTAGAATGAGGCAGAAATAAGACCCAGGGCAGTGACAAGAGAAGCTCCAAAAGTCTGTGCTGCAACTTGTTCTAATCTATGAACACATTTACCCACTGACAGCAACTAGAATGAGGCAGAAGTAAGACCCAGGGAAGTGACAAGAGAAGCTCCAAAAGTCTGTGCTGCATCTTCCTGGGGCTGCGTATTTGCCACCAGCCTCATCCCTCGCCCCCAGGGAAACCACACCTGGGGAGGAAGCACACTCCTTTCTGGTTGGCTTTTCAGTTACCCCACATTTCAATGATAGATGTAACCTAAAACTAAGTGTCTGTCAACTTGAATCCTTAACTAGAAATGAGGCAATATACAGGAAATCCCCCAAATCAGAGGCAGCCATGTATCCACAGCCTAGAAGCCAAGGACTAATGGTTTGCCACCATCCAGCTTCACATTTCTCAAGACCCATGTTCCCCAGGCACGAGTATGCTATCCACAAAGCAGAATAAACAGTTAAATTCACTACAGAAATTCCAAAAACTACATATTCATGGCATGAAAGAAATCCTGCAGGGTTTGAAGGAAACCACAGTGGGCTTAAAAAAAAAAAAATTTTTTTTTTGCCTTGCCTCTATTTAGTGCTTATACTTGGGTTGTTAAGAGCAGAACTTAAAATGGGGCAATATTTAGACAGCTGCTGGTATCAAGTAATTTCAAATGGGCCAATTCATGGCAATTAGGATAGGCCTTTCTCCTTAGTCATCATTTATATTTAAAGCAATAACAAAGAGCTAACACTACAGTGTCTACTACATGGCAGGCGTGGTCCCTAGAACTGTACCAAGAATAACTCATTGAACCCTCACGAAAACCTGAGGTGGATGTCATTCTGTTCTCACTGAACAGAAAAGGAAACTGAGGCTCAGAAGAATTAAGGGACTTGCCTGAGGTCACACAGGTAGTCAGAGATGGAGCCAGGATTGAACCTTGGCAGTGTGGCTCTGGAGTTTACGCTCAGAACCATTCTGCCAAATTGTCTGCAAATACAAAGAGCAAATACAAGTTGCCCTGCCTCAGCTGAGCCCTCAATGCCTAATGGCACTCATTACTGTACCCAGTCACCATGACCACTCAACAAATGACCTCCCTCTTCTCCACAGAGGATACAAGCTGCTGGGTGTGACCGATCTGTGCCAGGGACCCTCCTGTCATAAACTTGCCTGCGTCCTCCCTGTTCTCTCAGAACAGATGTCCCACAAGGCTCCAACTCTTGCCTCCTCAGGGATCTTGCTCTAAGAATCCCCCTTTCTCCTTCATCTTTGATCTTGTCTCATCTGCCTCTTCCCCCTCATCCTGTAAACATGTTCAAGTGCACCACCTGCATAACAAAAAATCCCCTTTGATCTTCATCCACTTTTAACTTAATTTTGGCCACTACCTCACTGTGTGACCTGGGCGAAGTGCTTACTTTCTGTAAAAGCCTTTAATTTCTGCATCTGAATAATGAGAGCACTGGACCAGAGGGTCTCTAAGGTCCTTCCAATTCCAACATTCTGTGGTTCTTAATGCAGAGATTTCTCTGAGCAAGCTCACTGAAACTCAGGCCAGTTTCTTCAGTGTCCCTGAAGCCCCAAAGTTAATTTTCTTCTAAGACTGTCAAGCTGTTCCCCTGCAGCAATGCCCCCCTCTTCCTCTCATTTCCCAAATCCTGGTTTTTTTTTTTTTTTCAAAGACCTAGCTTAAACCCCGTCTGCTCCAGGATATCCCAATCTTTAACTCTTACAGAACTTTAGTTATAAATAACAAATGAGCATTCCCCTTCAACAGTGCCTTTTTCATATTTCTGTTCTGTATATCTTCATTCCCTCAGCGAGGCTAAACTCTCAAAGAGCAAGGACCATGTTACATGTCTCTGGAACCCCCAAAGGACCTCCCCACTAGGTGGGTCTGCAATAGCTGCTCAACAGTGCTGGCTGAGGGGTCAGCCTATCGCCATTAAAGAAACTAGTAGTTAAGGTATGTCACTAGACTCCCTGATTGCAAAGTAAATTACCTCCGTTCTTCTCCCTCACATACACAAATCTATAAACATAAGCTTTTCATTCAAGAGCATCATCCAAATTTAACATAAGGAAAGCTGAGCTAACTCTCTGATTTTCCTTTATCTGAATCAGAAATAGTTATAGCCATGTTTCCCTTTGATCCAGACTTAAGTGATCACAGGTACTGTAATCTTAGGGACCTCTAGTTGATCCCGGTTATATACTTCCACTAACACATATTCTCCATGGTTATTAAGTTCCCTCACTTGTCAACACATAGCATTATGTTACTTCCTCATCTTTCCAACCAAATTTCCAGGAAACATCTGGAATAATATCAGAGAGTTGGTGTTTGATCAAAATGACATCCTCTGCTTTACTCATTTGGAAGTGACTAATTTCAACCCTTAGGTCTGAGGTGAACATAGACGGACGGATATGATTCAGGAGTTTGCTAACACTCACCAACAGAGATAAGACGGACACATTACGCCACCAATGAAAGCCCCAAAACTGCACTCACCTCCTCTGCCCGAGCACGCTGCTGAGGTATTGCTCAGTACTGTGAGTGCTGGTCTCTGTTTTGCAATAATCCTGGGTAATTACTGACTATTCAAAGTGAATCCCAAAGTTCTTCAAACAGAATTTTAAACTGTTTATTTTATTTTTTGAGACAGGGTCTTGCTCTGTAGCCCAGACTGGAGTGGAGATCTCGGCTCACCGCAACCTCTGCCTCCTGAGCTCAAACCATCTTCTCACCTCCCAAGTAGCTGGGACTACAGGCACGCACCACCATGCCTGTTTGTTTTTTTTCTTGGTCTTTTTTGTAGAGATGGGGTTTCACCATGTTGCCCAGGCTGGTCTTGAACTCCTGGGCTCAAACAATCCACCTGCCTTGGCCTCCGAAAGTGCTGGGATTACAGGCATGAGCCATGTCGCCCGCCAAAGTCAGTTTATTTTTAAATGAATGCTCCAAAACACTGGTTCTCCCCTGGTTACATACTAGAATCACCTAGAGCACCTTCATAAATACCAATACCCAACATCCCACCGCCCTAACCCTATCACCCTTCAAAGATTTTGATCTAATCGGTTCGGAGTGAGACCCAGACATCAGAATTTTCTTAACAGCACCTCAGCTATGCTGAATGAATTAAGGTATCATTGTTAAATATTTTAGGTATAACAGCATTATAACTACATCTTTCAAAACGACTCAGTCATTCATTCGTGGAATTACTGGTAAAATTCAAAATAAGGCCTCCATTTAATTGCTAGTATTGTACCAAGCTAATTTCCTGGTTTTGATCATTGTACGAAGGTTATGTAAAGTGTTAACTTTAGGGGAAGCTGCATGGGGCAGGGTATATAGGTACTCTCAAATTATTTCTGTGACTTTCCTCCAAGTCTAAAATTAATTCAAATTTAAAAGTTATTTTTTAAAAGAATCCTTCACTTTTAAAGATATATACTTAAATATTTATGAATGAAATAATGTCTGGGGATTTACTATAAAATATACAGTTGAGGGTGGCAGGGAGTGGGGATATGGATAAAACAGGAGTATTTGCAAGCTGATGATTGTAGTGGCTGGTAATGAGTACATTAAGGTTCACTGTGTTACTCCGCCTTCTTTTACCCTGTCTTCTTCAGTATATGTGTAAAATTTCCCATCATATATATTGGAGGAAAAAACTTCCGAGTAATTTTAACATGTAACCAGGGCTGACAAACACTGCTCTGAAGTCTTGAAAATGTGCTATAATGAGAAGCTCTGTCTGGTACTTCCAGCTACAAAACACTTTCCCCAGCTCTCTGATATAGAGCTAGTCAGTTAATCTCTCCGTACCACACTTTACTAAACTGCAAAACAACAGATATGGATTAGAGGTTTTTGTTGTTGTTTTTCGTTTTTTTTTTTTTTTTTTTTGAGATGAAATCTGGCTCTGTCGCCCTGGTTGGAGTGCAGTGACATGATCTGGGCTCACTGTAACCTCCACCTCCCAGGTTCAAGCGATTCTTGTGCCTCAGCCTCCCGAGGAGCTGGGACTACAGGCATGCACCATCACACCTGGCTAATTTTTGTATTTTTAGTAGAGATGGAGTTTCACCATGTTGGCCAGGCTGGTCTTGAACTTAAAGGACTTTTTAAAAAGAATAAGCATCAAAAAGCCAATTTATTATAATTCTAAGATCTCCTCTCTGAGAGTTAATGTCATAGTTAATTAACTTCTAGCACAACTGTAAAAAATGGTAGAGTCTGGCTAGGGGCAGTGGCTCACACCTGTAATCCCAGTGCTTTGGGAGGCAGAGGCGGGAGGATCGCTTGAGCTGAGGAGTTTGAAAACATCCTAGGCAACATAGCCAGGCGTGATGGCATACACCTGTAGTCCTAAGCTACTCAGGAAGCTGAGGTTGGAGAATCGCTTCTGCCCAGCAGTTAGAGGTTGCAACGAGCTATGAATGTTATCACTAAACTCCAGCCTCGGTGACAGCATAAGACTCTGTTTCTAAAAAAATTAAAAAGGTAAAGTCTTATGTCTACAATAGCATTTCCCAAAGAATGTTCTAAAATCACTACTTTATGGGACATTAATAAATGTTACCTAAGATAAGTGTTCTGAGGTCAACTAAGTTTCAAAAGTCTGGCTTTCTTTATTGTGAGACTCCTAAGAACTTTAAGTGAGATAATACGCTTTGTGACTTTCCAAGGGGTGGTGAGGGAATATGCAAATCGTTTGACCTCTTTATATGGGACTAGTTTTGTAGAACTTATTTTAGAAATAGTGCTTAAGACCACTGGTTCCCAAATCCTGGGTAATAGAGGGTGGCATTGTATCATTTGGTAAACTTATGTATTAGTCTGTTCTCACATTGCTAATAAAGACATATCCAAGACTGGGTAATTTATAAAGGAAAGAGGTTTAGTTGACTCACAGTTCCACATGGCTGGGGAGGCATCACAATCACAGCTAAAAGTGAATGAGGAGCAAAGTCACATCTTACATGGCGGCAGGCAAGAGAGCTTGTGTAGGGGAACTCCCCTTTACAAAACTATCAGGTCTCATGAGACTTATTCACTATCATGCGAACAGCATGGGAAAGACCTGCCCCCATGACTCAATTACCTCCCACTGGGTCCCTCCCATGACATGTGGGAATTATGGAAGCTACAATTCAAGAGGAGATTTGGGTAGGGACACAGCCAAACCATAACATCTTATTAAAATAATGATTCACAGACCACACCTAGACTTACTGGGAGGAGGGGAGAACTCAGTATTAAAACAAACAAAAAACTCACATGATGCCAATGAATAGTCATGTTTGGAAAGTAAAGCTTGGTAGACCATAATATAGTAAAATAAGTTTATAATATTTGCAAAGCCACATCAATGAAAAGCAATATCAAAGGTCATGTTTAATAGTTTTCCAAATAATAGTATTTAACCCATGAGAGAAGAGTATATGCATGCAACATTTTATGAAAGCTAAGCACTAAAATGTTGGAGGTGTTGGCAAATTTAAATCTGTCAATATAACTAATGACTGCTTTGTAATCTCAAGGATACACTACCTCCATTGCTAAATACAAATTGTTAATCTGCAGTGATTCTTGCTCCATCACTTGTTTCTCCATGTCCATCTTCTCTCACCAGAGTTAAAGGGCCACTTTGTTAAACAAATCTGGGAGTGCCATTCACAGAAGTGGTTTCTCCAGTAAACAGCTCCTAACATTTCCTTGATATTACAGTACATCAAGGTATCAGGAATATAAAGTTTTTCTTGACTGGAAACTTTGGAAAATGTACTTACTTATTCCTTTATGCCCCTAGAACTGTGCTGTGCAGCAGCTGGTCAATGATACATTTAAGTGCTTAAAGGAAGTACCTATTTACTGAGATTGATAATTACACAACATTTGCATCATGTGCTTCAGTTTACTAAGTACTTTCACATGAATTACATTGCTTCTTTCCTTTAAAAACTTTGCGGGTTAAATAGGCGTAATTGTTTCCATAAAACCATTAAGAATCACTGGAGCTTTTCGTATCAAAGCTCCTGCTTTGAAAGAAATTTTAATCTACTGGGAAACAAAATATAAATTATACACAGGAAACAATTAAAGTCAATTCAAAGACAGAATGGTGGCTAGAGCAAATTAGTATGGCAGGACTTTACATGCACTAATAATAGCTAACACTTACTAAGCAATCTGTCACTCAACCCTTGGGGTAAGTTACTACTATTAGCCCCATTTTTCACATGAGGAAACTGAGACAGAGAAGTTAAGCAACTTGGCCAAGCAAATCAGTGGTGATCAGAATTCAAACTCTAAATTAGCCCAGCTCTGTGGACCACTTTTTTCATCATCACATTTTACTGCTGGGAAAAAGCAATCTCCTCAAAGCAATAGTGACAAATGTCAAGTCTTAAGATGGCATCCAGAGTTGCAGAGAATCACAACAACCAGTCAGCAATGTTATTTTCCCGCAGCACATTACCTCTTTGATTCGTTTAACCAAAGCATTCTGGTCAAAAGCAACGGCCTCTGCACACTGATGCAGGTGATCTTGATATCGGAGGCAGAGCTGCAACACCTGCTGAGAGTCCAGTTTCTCCAATTTGGCATTTGTTGGGGAAGTCTGGCCACTCAATAGCCCTTCAAAGGAGAAAAAAATGAAATGAAATTAAAATTACTGCTAATAAACTTGTGAATAAAGTAGTTTAACAAGTTCACTGAAGACAGGGTAAGACTTCAATTTAATCTTGCATCTTTTGTTATATGTTAATGACAATCGTTGCAATTATTATTTATGGGGCATCTGTTATGTGCCAAGCACTTTTGCTAAGTGCTTCTTGTGCACGATTTTTCGTATTCACAGCTGCCCTGGAAAGTGAGGTATTATTAGCTCCATTTACACAGGAGGAAGCCAAGACACAGAGAAGTTAAGTAACTTTCCAAACGTCACATAGCTAGTAAGTGGTTTCTCCAAGAACAGAGCTCCTGACCTTATCACATCACTTCAAGGTACTAGGAATATAAATCCCTTATTAATTGAAAATGTGGGAATATAATTTTTAAAAATAATTAAAATGGTTGTCTGAAAAACTGAGAAAAAGAAATCAAATGTATACAGAAACTGCTAGGAGATGCTAAAATGGAGACATTTAACAAGTAAACAGACTGTCAGCTAACAGGCCAGAAACTCATTCTTTACATTTTCTTTCAACACCAGCTTAGCCAGGTAACCATTAATCTCCCCTGTATTTGCATAGGGGATTATATTTTTATAGGTATGTAGCAGGGCAATTAATAGCATTTGCAGGAGAAGAAATCAATTGAAGAGGCCAAATGATGCCCACATTCACAAAGCAAAGCCCAGTCTAGAAATTAAGCCTATTGCTTTCTGCCAAATCAACAGTTCTCAATTATCAGAACCTCTACACTCTCAAAAATTACCAAGGACCCCAAAGAGCTTTTATGTGAGTTTTATCTTTTGATATTCACCTATAAAAATTAAAACTGAGAACATTCTTAAATATTAAATCATTTAAATATAATGATAACCCCTTTATACATTAACAAAAATAACATTTTAAGGAAAATATTCTTCCAAACCAAAAAAGTGAAATGATGCCACTGGTTTATTTTTATTAATGTCTTTTTAATGTCTGCCTTAATAGAAAACAGCTGGAATATCATAGCTGCTTCTGCATTTAATCTGTTGCTATTTCACATCATTTAGCCTCTGGAAAACTCCACTGGACACTTCTGTAAGAGAATGAGCATGTTTTGCAAATAATGTCTAAGTATTATTACAAACATAGTTTTGACCTCAGAGATTCCCTAGCAGGGTCTTGGGGATCCCAGTGATCGCCCTACCACATGCCAGACCATTCTGTCTCACAGCAGAGCCAATGCTACAGCACAAGGAACACAGAATACATATGACAGTAGGTCACGTGCAGGGCACAGCAAAGCTTTTTTTTTTTTTTTTTTTTTTTGAGACAGAGTCTTGCTCTGTTGCCCATCTGGAGTGCAGTGGCGTGATCTTAGCTCACTGCAACCTCGACCTCCTGGACCCAAGCAATCTTCCTACCTCAGCCTCCAGAGTAGCTGAGGCCACAGGCACTTGTTACCACAGCCAGCTAGTTTTTGTATTTTTAGTAGAGACAGGGTTTTGCTGCCCAGGTTGGTCTCGAACTTCTGGGCTCAAGCGATCCTCCCGCCTCAGTGTAAGCCACCTCACCTGGCCAAAGCTCATCTTGGGAACCCTTCCTCACCGACCCCAACCACCAATGTCCACCCCTCACTGTCCCCAACCACCAACATCCACACCACACTGTTCTGATATATTAGAGCTGAAGCCAGTATTCTCTCCCTCCAGACAGGCTGTATGAAGGGCTACCCAGCTAGGTTGTCCCAGAGAATCCTGGGAAATGCTGGTCGATGCTCTCAGATCTTCTGAGACAGAGCAGCATACAGGGCTGGAACCCGAGGCACTGCTAGGCTCCTCCACATTCCACTGCTCAGCTGCTGCACTACAAGTCCTAACACAGGAGAGCACCAGTTACTTGACCTGAACCTGCTTCCAGGCAGTATGTTTTGGTGAATCCAGTATTAGCAGAAATTGGGAATTTTTTAATTGAAATTTTTATTGAGATCCTATGTATAGGATCCCGTGTCCCCTTTACCCAATTTCCCTCAATGGAAACATCTTGTAAAACTATGGTACAATATCACAACCAGGATATTGACATAGATATAATCTGACCTTATTCAGATCCTACCCATCCCTCCCTTTTTTGGTTTAGAGATGGTATCTCCCTCTGTTGCTGAGGCTGGCCTCAAACTCCTAAGCTCAAGAGATCCTCCCACCTTGGCTTCCCAAGTAGCTGGGACTACAGGAGTATGCCGCTGCACCCGGGCAGATTTCCTTTTTTTTTTTTTTTTTTTTTTTTTTGAGACACAGTCTCGCTCTGTCTTCCAGGCTGGAGCACAGTGGAATGATCTCCTCAGCTCACTGAAACCTTGTTCAAGCAATTGAACAAGGCCCCTGAGTAGCTGGGATTACAGGCATGTGCCACCATTCCTGCCTAATTTTTGCATTTTTTAGTAGAGACAGGGTTTCACCATGTTGGCCAGGCTGATCTCAAACTCTTGACCTAAGGTGATCCAGCTGCCTCAGCCTTCCAAAGTGCTGGGATTACAGGCATGAGCCACTGTGCCCAGCCCAGATTTCCTCATTTTATTTGCACTGATTTGTGTCTGTATTTAGTTTTTTTTCCTATACACAAGTTCATGTATTCATCACCATGGTCAGATGCTGAAAAGTTCCATCACCACAAAGAGTTCTTGTGCTGCTTTTGTAACTATACCTACCCCACTCTTTCTCTCATCCCCCTTTCCATCTTTAAAACACTGGCAACCATTAATCCATTCAACATTTCTAAAATTTTGTCCTTTCAAAAGTGTTATATAAATGAAATAATACATGATGTAAGCTTTTAGGATTGAATCTTTTTAGTTGCCCAACATAAAACTTTAGAGATGTGTCTATGTTGTTGATATATCAATGGTTAATTCTTTTTTTATTTCTGAGTAGTATTCCATGGTATATATGTATCAGAGTTTGTTAAACCATTCACCCATTGGAGGACATTTGGACTGTTTCCAGTTTGGGGCTATTACAAACAAGTCTGCTGTGAGCAGTCATGTACAGGTTTTTGTGTAAACATAAGTTTTCATTTCTCTGGGATAAATGCCCAAGAATGCAATTGCTGGGTCATATGGTAATTGCATGTTTAGTTTTATAAGAAACTGTCAGTTTCCCAGAGTGCCTGTACCAAGAAAATGGGAATGCTACAGACCACTAAAATCTCCTAACAAAACTATCAAGGGCTACCCTATCACTGACAAGAAATACATTTCCAGGAACGCAAACTTGGGAGAAGATACCAAAAGCATTTTGCTGTCAATCCGAAATTGAAAGAGGAAAAGAGGAAGGAGGCACCATGGAAAAAGGAATGAACGATTTTGTGCCATTAACAGTGGACCAGGATAATGCAAAAGCCATAAAGGAAACACTGATAAATTCAACAATACAAAAACCAAGACTCCTCATGACAACAAACACAAGTTAAAATTTAAAATACAAAAAGAATACCCAAAATCTGAGGAAAATAAAAAACCTGCAGAGACCCCAGGAAGCCTTTTTCCTCCTATTGTGATAACTCATATCACATAGGGTAAACTTCCTAATATATAAAGAGTGCCTAGAAATTGCAAATAAGGCTGGGCACAGTGGCTCATGCCTATAATTCCAGCACTTTGGGAGGCTGAGGCGGGCAGATCACCTGAGGTCAGGAGTTCAAGACCAGCCTGGCTAACACGGTGAAACCCCATCTCTACTAAAAATACAAAAAGTAGGTGGGTGTGGTGGCATGCACCTGTAGTCCCAGCTACTTGAGAGGCTGAGGCAGAAGAATCTCTCGAACCCGGGAGGCAAAGGCTGAAGTGAGCCAAGATCCAACTCCATCTCTAAAAAAACAAGAAAAGAAATTGGCAAATTAAAAACTAGCAAAAGGGCCAGGCGCAGTGGCTCACGCCTGTAATCCCAGCACTTTGGGAAGCCGAGGCGGGCAGATCACGAGGTCAAGAGATCAAGACCATCCTGGCCAACATGGTGAAACCCCGTCTCTACTAAAAATACAAAAATTAGTTGGGCATGGTGGCAGGCACCTGTATTCCCAGCTACTCAGGAGGCTGAGGCAGGAGAATCGCTTGAACCCGGAGGCGGAGCTTGCAGTGAGCCGCGATCATGCCACCACACTCCAGCCTGCCGACAGAGCAAGACTCCGTCTCAAAAAAAAAAAAAAAAAAGAATTAGCAAAAGAAAGATGAACAAAAGTTATGAAAAGATATTTCACAGAAAAGGAAATACCAATACCTCAACTATAAGAAAAGATGCACAACCTCACTTATAATAAGAAAAACAAATTGAAACTTTACCACAAGCCCATTTTTCACCTGTCAAATTGGTAAAAACGAAAAGCATGAAAAATACTTTGTAGGTGGAGCTGTGAGGAAAGAGGTTTTGCTGCTTAGTGTGTAAGTTGTTAACACCCTATGGAGGAGGGCAATTTGGCATGGATAACAAAATTACAAATGCATAGCCTCTGATGCAACAGCTTCACCACTAGGAATTTACACACACAGTAGCACACAAGCTAAATGATGTATATACAAGAGTATTCATTGCAGCAGTGACTGTAACAGCAAAGGTCAGCAAACACCACAATGTCCCTGAATAGAGGGCCTGTTAATTAAATCAGGGTATATCTATAAATAGTATTACATGAACAAAGAAAAGAATGAGGGCGCTCTCTATGTACTTACATGGAAAAAAACCTCCATAAGATAAAATTTTTAAAAGGTATATAGATGCATAGAGTGTGCTATCATTGCATAAAAATGGGGGTTGGGGTGCAAGTAAACAAGAGTATATGTTCAGATTTACTTATATTTACATAAATAAACTCTGAAATGATATATAAGAATTAGATGGAGGCAAGGGGTAAAGAGGGGGAATTTCATAGTATACTTTTAACAGAACTTTTTTTAACCAAATGAATGCATTTCCCCCTTAAATATTTTTTAAATAAATAAACTCATTTTAACAAAAAGCTGAGGTTTTTCCTCATCTATGAGTAAGAACTTCAGGGCAGTTCTCCCTTCTTCACCCATCCCAAGTGCCCCCTACTCCATAAGTAAAAACCTCATCTTTAATTCTCACCAAAGTTCATATGGCCGAACACATCTTAAAACATTTTATCGGCCAGGCACAGTGGCTCACGCCTGTAATCCCAGCACTTTGGGAGGCCAAGGCAGGCGAATCACGAGGTCAGGAGATCGAGACCACCCTGGCTAACATGGTGAAACCCCGTCTCTACTAAAAATATAAAAAAATTAGCCAGGCGTGGTGGCAGGCGCCTGTAGTCCCAGCTACTCGGGAGGCTGAGGCAGGAGAATGGCGTGAACCCAGGAGGCAGAGCTTGCAGTGAGCCGAGATCTTGCCACTGCACTCCAGCCTGGGTGACAGAGCAAGACTCTGTCTCAAAAAAAAAAAAAAAAATTTTCTCTAAGGTGATTAAAGTGGTATAACAAATGGTGAGCTGGTTGAAGACAGGGACCACGTTTTGCTTATCTTTTTATCTCATGTCTAGTAGAGCACCTAGTACATAAAAGGTTCTTGATTAGGGTACGAGTATGCAGTTCTATTGCTGGAATTCCAAGGAAAGCATAAGTCTAGGAAGATATTAGGAGGAAAAAGGCTTCCCAGGATCTCTGTAGGCTGCATATATGCCTAAGAGCGAGTCCTTGTCTCAGTCTGAATCTGCTCTTCTAAGGTGCATGAGGAAGCTCTCCGGTGCTTCAGAAGACTATTGGGAGCCTGAATCGCAGAATGAAGTGGAGGAAGGCTACAGGGCCAGCCCAAGCTGCCAGGTGGCTGAAGCAGAGGGCCCAGAACCCAACCTTAGCTCACAAAACAAAACTCTCACTTCTACCTCTTGAGAAAAAGGTGGAGGGTGAGGGAAACGAGGGAAGTAGGAGGGGGATTTTGAGAAGGTTGCCAGGTCTAATAGGCACACTAGGATGTTCAAATTAAGTTGCCTAGCCAACTTCAAAATCAAAGGAATTACACTTTAAGTCATTCTTATAAATCACAATTGCAGCCTCCCTCTAACCATCTAAAAACAAAACCCAGGTGCATGACTCTATCCTCAGAATGTGCTTCCTTGACTCATAGGAATCTCCATAAACCCACCGCAAATCCTGCCCCGGGTCATAGCAGGAGCAAGACAGGACAGAGAAAATAAGAAGATGGGCCACATTTTCCATTCCTGAAGCAACAAAGTTGTGGCAACCCAGGCAAATTCTAGAGGCATTGAACACAATGTTTTCCCATCACCCTCTTGTGCCAGGAAACCATCTCCCTCTCGTATTGATAGCTACGCCTCTCCTGGATCTTCTGAAAAGAGGGAGAAGGACAGAAAGCTGGGCAAATTTAGAGACGGTAAATTTTGTCATTTTTAGGAGACCACAAACTTCCAGTCCTCTGAAGTGTTTCATTCTGAATGAGCATTAAGATTTTTTAAATTTTTGGAATGCTTTCAATGAGTTGTGCACTTGCCTGTTTGCTCAGTCCCCACCATCTCCCTCCTGTCCAATGCCCGGCAGCTCCACTCACCCACATTACCTGCCTGGCCTCTGCGGGCTTCTGGATTTATACTCCTATTTTAATTATTTCCTACCAACTCCAATACCATTAATAGAGAATGAACCTTGAAATTATTTTTTGTATAGTTTTATAAATGTTTTTTACACTTAGGATTTTTCTGCTTTACCCTTTATTATGAAAATTTTTAAATGTAGAAAAGTAGGGGAAAAATGTATACCCAAATACCCACCACCTAGATTCAACAACTAATATTTTGTCATATCTACTTCATCTCACTATATAATTTTTTTTCTTTTGCTGAGCCGTTAAAAACACCATAACATCATGACACTTCACTCCTAATACTCCATAAAGAAGAACGTTGATCCACATACTTATGGTTAGTTTTCCATGTTAAAGAGAAGAAGTTTCTAAATTACATGTTCCTTACAGTTAAGCAACAGGGCCATTGCCTTCAGTTTTCTACTTCTTCTTTAGTTTAATACGGGGATGCACCCAAAGATGTTTACTGAGTTAAAAACCTGATCTAACAGATTCCATATATTAAGGGTTAGGTTTGCAAATGGTAAATACTGGAGATATTTCCTAAGACCCTGTTTAAACCACTTTGCTTATACAAAAATGAGGAGTAGGCTCCAGGGAGTGAGTGAAGACCAAGACTGAATATTCCAGAGATCCAGCAAACTACCATCTGTACCTACCTCTTTGTGTAAAATGTTGAGTGGAAAAATCATCAGGGTTAGAAGTGTGGGAAATATTCTGCAGAGTGATCTTTTTCATTCTGAGATGTCAGGTGGGGGGAAACCCACAGTTTCTCTATAGCACAGTGCAGAGCCATATGGCTATTAGCTTAGCCTATTACCAAACCGAATTCCTTAACTCTGAGAGGCTTAGATACTTCTAGGACTAGAAATCAGTATTACAAATATTGGGACACATAACGAGCTCCATTTACTGCTACAGAATCCAGGAAGTAGAAATTAAATATAACTTTGACAAAAGTTACTGTGAAGGTATAATTAAACAACAGATTCTGAAAAAAGAAAATTCCCCCGTATGGACTGAATGTTTGTGTTTCCCCAAATTTCCTATGTTGAAATCCTAATCCCCAGTGTAATGGTATTAGGAGGTGGGGACCTTAGTGGGTGAGTAGATCATGAGTATAGAGGCTTCATGAATGGGACTAGTGTCACTAGAAGAAGAGATGTGAGAGCCTCCCCTCACTCTTTCTGTTCCCAGCCATGTGAGGCCACAGCAAGAAGATAGCCATCTGCAAACCAGGGAGCAGGTCCTCGGCAGAGGCAAATCTGCCGGCACCTTGACCTTGGATTTCCCAGCCACCAGAACTATCAGAGATAAATGCTTGCTGTTTAAGCCACCCGGTTTATGGTATTCTGTTATAGGAGCCCAAATTGACTATGATACCCCCAAAAACAATAAGAAATTTTCGAGTCTATTGGTCATAGTATATTTCAAAGATAAAAGCACTTAAGCTATATGTATCCTTTACTTAAACTCTAGTTCTCAAAGGCACTCCCTTCTCTTCTTAAAGAAAGGGAAAGTCTGGCCGGGCGCGGTGGCTCACGCCTGTAATCCCAGCACTTTGGGAGGCCGAGGCGGGCCCATCACAAGGTCAGGATATCGAGACCATCCTGGCTAACACGGTGAAACCCCATCTCTAGTAAAAATACAAAAAATTAGCTGGGCGTGGTGGCGGGTGCCTGTAGTCCCAGCTACTTGGGAGGCTGAGGCAGAAGAAAGGCGTGAACCTGGAAGGTGGAGCTTGCAGTGAGCCGAGATTGTGCCACCAAACTCCAGCCTGGACGAGAGTGCGAGACTCCCACCTCAAAAAAAAAAAAAAAAAAAAAAAAAGAAAAGAAAGAGAAAGTCTAAAACCATCTTCCCAACTTGGAGAGAATTTTGTGATGTGCGTTAGTGATTGATTCCTTCGGGATACTTAGAAAAAGTGTGCTTTCTAAGGCTGATTCCTTCAGAACATTTATCCCCACCCTGTGACCTCAGAGGAGTGCTAACCTCGAGGGGGCAACGGCAGTCATCATTGCTCTGGTTAAACCATGTGGCAGAAGAAACTGCAAGTGCAGAACAAGCCCCATGTAAGATGCCACCCACCACAATGTTTGGTGAGGATACAAACATTTCTCCCAGGACCTCCGAAACCCACCAGAGGGCAAGACAGAGGAACTTTTTAATGGAGGCAGCATGGAAAAAGCTGAATTCAGCTCCCTTATTTATTAGCTGTGTGAATCTGGACAATTTATCTTACATCTTTGAGCCTCAATTTTCTCATATGTAAAAGCAAGATAATAATCATGTCCCTTCTAGGGTTTGCCTAGCACACAATAGGATTTTGATAAAACTCTGTTCCCTTTATTCTTGCATTTCTTAAGTCTCAGAGAAGTAAAGGGTTCAAGGGAATTTGTGGTAAGCAATGAAAAGCACTTCATCCTTCTGTGTTAGGCACCCATTTGGCCATGGCCAGTGGCCCTAATTTATGGTACCAAAGAAACAAGAACAGAGGATGTCACACCCAAAAGTAGACACAGTATTTCCAAAGGTCATCAGTATCCACAAACGACACACCTCAGTGTCTTCGAGGAATCCTGTTCACTGCTATAAAATTAGCATTTCACAATCTCTACCTTTTCCTCTTGAATAATTAAGTAAAATGGAATAGGCTGTAGTTACCAACTACTTGGTATGCAGAGGTGAGAGGACTGCTTAAGCCTAGAAGTTCAAAGCCAGCCTCGGCAATATAGCACGATTCTCTGTCTCCTATTAAGTAAATGTTCAACTGCTCATCTGCCCTAAACAATTTCCAGGTTCGCAGGCTTGCTCTCTGTTTGAACTTACCAGACTAGGGAAGGGAGACCACATGGTATAATGAAAAAGTTTGGAGTCAGGTAGACCCGGAATTGGAATCCAAGGATTGCCATTTAAAACCTGTGTGATGTTGAGGGAGTCTAAATTTAACTTCCCTTAATTCAAATCCTTCATCTGTAAGTGTGACATATTAAAGGAGTATTATGGGAACTATATAAAGTTATGCCTACCACAGCACCTAGCAAAGAGGAGGCACACAATTCGTGTTAATTTCCTCACTGTCTCAAAGTCCCCAGTCACCAACTGTAGTAGTCAATTAAGCAGGCTTTCAAAAGCTGGCTGTATGACTGGCCTATCCTACCACTATAAGTGTTTACCAGGCACACACTACTATGTACTAGCACTGTAGGAAATAGCAAAGAAATGATCTCATTCCTCAAGCAGATTACCAGAAGAAGCAGGAGTTATTTATAAGGAAGGCAAATATGAAAAGGAGCTAAATTTAAAAAGATAAAACAACAAACCACACAATTGGGCAAAGGATTTAAATAGGCATTTCTCCAAAGGAGATATACAAACAGCCAATAAGCATATGAAGGATGCTCGACATCACTAATCATGAGGGAAATACAAAACACAATGAGATACCACTTAATCATTAGGATGGCTATTATCCAAACAATGGAAAATAACAAGTGTTGGCAAGGATGTTCTCCATATCCTTGGAACCCTTGTGCATTGCTGGTGACAATGTAAAATGGTGCACCTGCTGGGGAAAACAGTATGGGGGTTCCTAAAAAAAGTAACTAAAAAGGGAATTTGGGGAAGACTGTGGTAGGAAGCACCAGGAATTTATCTTCCCAACTAAATAATTGCACTGGTGCACTCTGTCTGATGTAACTATTTTGTAGCTCTAGAGTCTATTGAAGGCTTGCAACATCCAGAGGAAGGCCTGGATGATGAATTATAATTACTTTCAGTCTATTTCAGCTGTCATCATAATAGCACCAGCCATCTCAAAGCTCCCATCCCCACTGCAGGCAGCTACGCACTTATTCCTGGAGTGGCTTGCACACAGTTTGTGGGAGACAGCAGGGGAGAAAAGGACCCTGTCCTCTAAATATGAATCTATGCTCTGATCAATGTTGGCTGCTTCTGATCACAAAGGTGCAGACAGAGACACAGACGGTAATCACTGTTGTTGCACCTCCACCACACTGCTGCAAGGTCTTCCCACTCACGCTGAAGTGACTTTCAGAGGATTAAAGGGGGCAGCATTTTTTTCACCCTCCTTCACTTTTTTCTTTTTCCCTCTCTGGGACCCGGACATTAAAGACCAGGATATTCAAAAGCAACCACATATATAGGGGAAATTAGAAAGTTGCTATGCATGCCCAGGGAAGAGCACAGGCTCAGAAAAGATCTGAGGAGACCTAACATGTATACCTCTGGCTGATTCTTGGCACAGACACATCCTGTAACAATCAAAATACCAAAAATAAACCCAAAAAACAGTAAACCCAGAGAAGGGGGAGAATCTGTTTCCACAGTTACCATATTACTGGATTTAAATGTCCAATTTTCAAAAAAAAAAAAATCACCAGTCATACAAAGAAACAGAAAAGTATGGCTCATTCAAAGGAAAAATATAAACCAACAGATACTGTCCCTGAAAAAAGACAATGGCAAATCCACTAGACAAAGACTTTAAAACAACTGTCTTAAAGATGCTCAAAGAGCTAAAGGAGACATGGAGAAAGCCAAGAAAACAATGTATAAACAAATGGAAAATATCAATAAAGAGACAGAAAACCTAAAAAGAAATGAAAAATAAGTTCTGGAACTGAAATAACTGATACGAAAAATTCAATGCAGGGATTCAAAGGCAGATTTGAGCAGGCAGAAGAAAGAATGAGTGAATAATGAGTACAATGAATACTATCTAGTCTGAGGAACAGAAAGAAAAAAGATTAAGGAAAAGTGAACTGATCTAAGGGATTGATGAGACACCATCAAGTGGATAACCGTATGCATTGTGGGAGTCCCAAAAGGAAAACAGAAAGAGAAAGGGAGAGAAAACATCTGAAGAAACAATGGCCAAAAACATCCCAAATTTGATGAAAGAGATGAATACAAACATCCAAGAAGCTCAACAAACTCAAAACAGGATTCAGAGACCCACACCAGGACACATTATAATCAACCTTTAGAAAGGGCCAGGCACACTGGCTCACGCCTGTAATCCCAGCACTTTGGGAGGCCAAGGTGGGCAGATCACTTGAGGTCAGGAGTTTGACACCAGCCTGGGCAACATGGCAAAACCCCATCTCTACAAAAAAATATAAAAATTAGCCAGGCGTGGTGGCAGATGCCTGTAGTCCCAGCTACTTGGGAGGCTAAGGCAGGAGGATCATCTGAGCCTGGGATGCAGAGGTTGCAGTGAGCTGAGATTGCACTACTGCACTCTAGCCTGGGTGACAGACTGAGACTCTGTCTCAAAAAACAAACAAAAAGACAACGAGAAATTTGAAAGCAGCAAAAGAAAAACACCTTATCACATAAAAGGGAACCTTAATAAGATTATCAACAGATTTCTCATCAGAAACCTAGGGGGCCATAAGGTGGTAAACTGCTAAAAGAAAAAAAAACAAAAAACAAAAAACCTGTCAACCAAGAATTTTATATCCAGTAAAACTATCCTTCAAAAATGAGGGAGAAATTAAGCGTATCAGTCAGGAAAAAAAAAAAAAAAAAAAAAAAAAAAAGCTGAGGGAGTTTCTTAATACTAGACCTGCCCTGCAAGAAATGCTAAAGGGGGTCCTGCAGGTTGAAATGAAAGCACACTAGAGAGTTGAGTGAAGAAATAAAGATCTCAGTAAAGGTAAATATATGGCAAATTATAAAAGCCCATGTACTGTTCATGCCTGTAATCCCAGCACTTTGGGATGCCAAGGAGGGTGGATCACGAGGTCAGGAGATTGAGACCATCCTGGCTAACACGGTGGGACCCCGTCTCTACTAAAAATACAAAAAAATTAGCCAGGCGTGGTGGCGGGCGCCTTTAGTCCCAGCTACTTGGGAGGCTGAGGCAGGAGAATGGCGTGAAGCCGGGAGGCGGAGCTTGCAGTGAGTCGAGATCACGCCACTGCACTCCAGCCTAGGTGACAGAGTGAGACTCCATCTCAAAAAATAAAAAAATAAATAAAAAATAAAAAAAAAAAAGCCCATGTATTTACAGGGGTTTTTGTAACCATGGTTCGTAACTCTTTTGTAACCATGGTTTGTAGCTCCACTTTTGGCTTTCTGCGTTAAGAGACTGATACATTAAAAAAAATTAGTCTAAAAGCTAATGTTATTGTAACTTTAGTTTATAACTCCATATTTTGTTTTTTTACATAATTTGAGAGATTACTGCATTAAAAAAGTATTAGTTTATATTTTGGACACACCCTGTATAAAGATATTATCTTGTGACATTAACAACTGAAAGGGATGGAAACTAAGCTGGAAAGGAGCAGAGTTTTTCTATGTTATGAAAGTTAAGCTGTCACTGCTCTGCCTCTGGAGGTCATTCCTTATTCTTTTACTTTTTTTTTTTCTTTTGAGATGAAGACTCACTCTGTTACCCAGGCTGGAGTGCAGTGCCACGATCTCGGCTCACTGCAACCTCTGCCTCCTGGGTTCAAACGATTCTTCCAAGTAGCTGAGACTACAGGCATGTGCCACCACGCCTGGCTAATTTTTGAATTTTTAGTAGAGATGGGGTTTCACCATGTTGGTCAGGCTGGTCTTGAACGCCTGACCTCAGGTGATCTGCCTGCCTGGGCCTTCCAAAGTGCTGGAGTTACATGCGTGAGCCACCGCATCCGGCCTCCTTCACTTTCTTAATAAACTTGTTTTCACTTAAAAAAAAAAATAAAAGAAAAGAAAGCTAAGCTGGTATAAATTCAAATTATTGTGTTACCACGTTAGGATCTTAAATATAATCCTCATGATAAGTGCAAAGAAAACAGCATAAGCACTAAATGCCCACAAGAGAAAGCAGGAAAGATCTAAAATCGACACCCTAATATCACAATTAAAAGAAGCAAGAACAAACAAATTCAAAAGCTAGCAGAAGGCAAGAAATAACTAAGATCAGAGCAGAACTGAAAGAGACAGAGACATAAAAACCCTTAAAAAAAATCAATGAGTCCAGGAGCTGGTTTTTTGAAAAGATCAACAAAATTGATAAACCACTAGCAAGACTAACAAAGAAGAAAAGAGAGAAGAATCAAATAGACACAATAACAAATGATAAAGGGAATATCATCACCGATCCCACAGAAATACAAACTATCATCAGAGAACACTATAAACACTTCTACACAAATAAACTAGAAAATCTAGAAGAAATGGATAAATTCCTGGACACATACCCCCTCCCAAGACTAAACCAGGAAGAAGATGAATCTCTTAATACACCAATAATAGGCTCTGAAATTGAGGCAATAATTAATAGCCTACCAACCAAAAAAAGTCCAGAACCAGAAGGATTCACAGCCAAATTCTACCAGAGGTACAAAGAGGAGCTGGTACCATTCCTTCTGAAACTATTCCAATCAATAGAAAAAGAGGGAATCCTCCCTAACTCATTTTATGAGGCCAGCAGCATCCTGATACCAAAGCCTGGCAGAGACATAACAAAAAGAAGAGAATTTTAGACCAATATCCCTGATGAACATCGATGCGAAAATCCTCAATAAAATACTGGCAAACCGAATCCAGGAGCACATCAAAAAGCTTACCTACCACGATCAAGTCGGCTTCATCCCTGGGATGCAAGGCTGGTTCAACATACACAAATCAATAAACGTAATCCATCACATAAACAGAACCGACCACAAAAAACACATGATTATCTCAATAGATGCAGAAAAGGCCTTCAACAAAATTCAACAGCGCTTCATGCTAAAAACTCTCAATAAACTGGGTATTGATGGAACGTATCTCAAAATAATAAGAGCTATTAATGACAAACCCACAGCCAGTATCATACCGAATGGGCAAAAACTGGAAGCATTCCCTTTGAAAATCGGCACAAGACAAGAATGCTCCCTCTCACCACTCCTATTCAACACAGTGTTGGAAGTTCTGGCCAGGGCAATCAGGCAAGAAAAAGAAATAAAGGATATTCAATTAGGAAATGAGGAAGTCAAATTGTCCCTGTTTGCAGATGACATGATTGTATATTTAGAAAACTCCATCATCTCAGCCCCAAATCTCCTTAAGCTGATAAGCAACTTCAGCAAAGTCTCAGGATACAAAATCAGTGTGCAAAAATCACAATCATTCCTATACACCAATAACAGACAAACAGCCAAATTATGAGTGAACTCCCATTCACAATTGCTTCAAAGAGAATAAAATACCTAGGGATCCAACTTACAAGGGATGTGAAGTACCTCTTCAAGGAGAGCTATAAACCACTGCTCGATGAAATAACGAGATAAAAGAGGACACAAACAAATGGAAGAATATTCCATGCTCACGGATACAAAGAATCAATATCATGAAAATGGCCATACTGCCCAAAGTAATTTATAGATTCAATGCCATCCCCATTAAGCTACCAATGACTTTCTTCACAGAATTGGAAAAAACTACTTGAAAGTTCATATGGAACCAAAAAAGAGCCCGCATTGCCAAGACAATCCTAAGCAAAAAGAACAAAGCTGGAGGCATCATACTACCTGACTTCAACTATACTACAAGGCTACAGTAACCAAAACAGCATGGTACTGGTACCAAAACAGAGATATAGACCAATGGAACAGAACAGAGCCCTCAGAAATAACACCACACATCTACAACCATCTGATTTTTGACAAACCTGATAAAAACAAGAAATGGGGAAAGGATTCCCTATTTAATAAATAGTGCTGGGAAAACTGGCTAGCCATATGTAGAAAGCTGAAACTGGATCCCTTCCTTACACCTTATACAAAAATTAATTCAAAATGGATTAAAGACTTACATGTTAGACCTAAAACCATAAAAACCCTAGAAGAAAACCTAGGCAATACCATTCAGGACATAGGCATGGGCAAGGACTTCATGTCTAAAACACCAAAAGCAATGGCAACAAAAGCCAAAATTGACAAATGGGATCTAATTAAACTAAAGAGCTTCTGCACAGCAAAAGAAACTACCATCAGAGTGAACAGGCAACCTACAGAATGGGAGAAAATTTTTGCAATCTATCCATCAGACAAAGAGCTAATGTCCAAAATCTACAAAGAATTCAAACAAATTTACAAGAAAAAAACAAACAACCCCATCAACAAGTGGGCAAAAGATATGAACAGACACTCCTCAAAAGAAGACATCTAAGCTGCCAAAAAACACATGAAAAAATGCTCATCATCACTGGTCATCAGAGAAATGCGAATCAAAACCACAATGAGATACCATCTCATGCCAATTAGAATGGCAATCATTAAAAAGTCATGAAACAACATGTGCTGGAGAGGATGCGGAGAAACAGGAACACTTTTACACCGTTGGTGGGAGTGTAATTTAGTCCAACCATTGTGGAAGACAATGTGGCAATTCCTCAAGGATCTAGAACTAGAAATAACATTTGACCCAGCCATCCCATTACTGGGTATATACCCAAAGGATTATAAATCATGCTGCTATAAAGACACATGCACACATATGTTTATTATGGCACTATTCACAACAGCAAAGACTTGGAACCAACCCAAATGTCCATCAATGATAGACTGGATTAAGAAAATGTGGCACATATACACCATGGAATACTATGCAGCCATAAAAAAGGATGAGTTCATGTCCTTTGCAGGGACATGGATGAAGCTGGAAACCATCATTCTCAGCAAACTATCACAAGGACAGAAAACCAAACACTGCATGTTCTCACTCATAGGTAGGAACTGAACAATGAGATCACTTGGACACAGGGCGGGGAACATCATACACCGGGGCCTGTCAGGGAGTGAGGAGCTGGCGGAGGGATAGCATTAGGAGAAATATCTAATGTAAATGACGAGTTGGTGGGTGCAGCAAACCAACATGGCACATATATACCTATTTATCAAACCTACACTTTGTGCACATGTACCCTAGAACTTAAAGTATAATAATTTTAAAAAAAGAAAACAGCTATATAACATACACAAAAGGGAATGAGAAAGGAATATAAATGTTTCACTGCAAAAAATCAACACAGAAGACGACAGCAATACAGAAAATGACAAACAAAAAAAAGCTATAAGGCATCTAGAAAACTAATAGCAAAATGACAGAAGTAAGTGCCACTGTATCAGTTAAGTACTTTAAATGTATATGGATTAAACTCTCCAATCAAAAGACAGGGATTGACAGAATGGATTAAAAACCTGATCCAACTATATGCTTGTCTACTAGAGACTCAATTTACATCTAAATACACAAACAGGCTGAAAATGGATGAAAAAGATATTCATCCAAATAGTAACCAAAAGAGCTATACTGAAAGAGAGTCTCACGCTGTTACCCAGGCTGTAGTGCAATGGCATGATGATAGCTCACTGTATCTTCGAATTCCTGGGCTCAAACAATCCTCCTGCCTTAGACTCCCAAGTAGCTGGGACTACAGACATGCGCTATCACACCTGGCTAATTTTTAAATTTTTTTGTAGAGATGGGGGTCTAACTATGTTGCCCAGGCTAGTCTCAAACTTCTGCCTCAAGTGATCCTCCTGTCTCAGCCTCTCAAAGTGCTGGGATTATAGGAGTGAGTTACTGTAGCTGACCAAAATAGACCTTAAACTGAAAGCGGTTACAAGAGACAAAGGACATCATATATTAATAAAAGGTTCAGGCCGGGTGTGGTGGCTCACGCCTGTAATCTCAGCACTTTGGGAGGCCAAGGTGGGCAGATCACGAGGTCAGGAGATTGAGACCATCCTGGCAACACAGTGAAACCCCATCTCCACTAAAAAAACAAAAAAAAAAACAAAAAAAAAATTAGCCAGGCATGGCGGCAGGCACCTATAGTCCCAGCTACTCAGGAAGCTGAGGCAGGAAAATGGTGTGAACCTGGGAGGCAGACCTTGCAGTGAGCTGAGATTGCGTCACTGCACTCCAGCCTGGGCGACAGAGTGAGGCTCCGTCTCAAAAATAAATAAATAAATAAATAAATAAATAAATAAATAAATAAATAAATAAATGGTTTGATATAGCAAGAAGATAAAAAAAAAGAATTATAAATATTCAAATCAAGTGTGGTGGCTCATGCCTGTACTCCCAGCACTGTGAGAGGCTAAGGCAGGTGGACTGCTTGAGCTCAGGAGTTCGAGACCAGCCCAGCCAACATGGTGAAACCCCATCTCTACTAAAAATATAAAAATTAACTGGGTATGATGGTACTAGTCCTACCTACTCAGGAGGCTGAGATGGAGGATCAATGAGGAGGCAGAGGTTGCAGTGAGCCAAGATCTCGCTACTGCACTGCAGCCTGGGTGACAGAGTTAGACCCTGTCTCAAAAAAAGATTTAAAAATTATAAACATTTATACACCTAATGAGAGACCATCAAAATTTGTCAAGCAAACACTGACAAAATTGAAGGGAAAAATACTTCAATAATAGCTGGAAGTCTCAATATCCCACTCACAATAATGACTAGAACCACCAAACAGAAGATAAGTAATAAAGTAGAGGACTTGAACACACAACAAACTGACTCAACTTCACAGACAGACAGAATAATGTACCTAACAACAGAATACACATTCTTCTCAAGTGTACATGGGACATTTTTCAGGATAGGCCATATGTTAGGTCACAGATTAAGTCTCAAAAGATTTCAAAAGATAGATATTATACAAAGAATCTTCTTCCACCACAATAGAATGAAGTTAGAAATCTACAACAGAAGAAAAACTGGAAAATCCACAATTTGTGGACGGTAAAGAACATACTAAAACAACCAACAGATCAATGAAGAAAACACAAAGGACACTGAAAAAAACCTAAAGGTGAATTAAAACAAAAACACAATATACCAAAACTTATGAAATGCAGTGAAAGCAATGCTAAGGGGGAAATTTATCAATGTTTACATTAGGCTGGGCAGGATGACTCACACCTGTAATCCCAGCACTTTGGGAGGCCAAGGCGGGTGGATCACTTGAGGTCAAGTGTTCAAGACCAGCCTGGCCAACATGGTGAAACACCACCTCTACTAAAAAAAAAAAAAATACAAAAAGTAGCCAGGCATGGTGGCGCCTGCCTGTAATCCCAGCTGCTCTGGAGGCTGAGGCAGGAGAATTGCTTGAACCCGAGAGGCAGAGGCTGCAGTGAGCTGAGACTGTGCCACTGCACTCCAGCCTGGGCAACAAAGCAAGACTCCATCTCAAAAAAAAAAAAAAAAAAAAGTTTACATTAAAAAACAAGAGTTGGGTGCGGTGACTCAAATCTATAATCCCATCTACTCAGTAGGCGGAGGTGGAAGGATCGCTTGAGCCCAGGAGTTCGAGAAGAGCTTGGGCAACCTAGTGAGACTCTGTCTCTTTAAAAAAATAAGTAAATAAATAAAAATTAAAAATTAGCCAGGCATAATGGTGTGTGTCTGTAGTCTCAGTTACTGGGAGGCTGAGGTAGAAGAATCACTTGAGTCCAGGAGTTCGAGGCTACAATGAGCTATGATTGCACCACTGCACTCTAGCCTTGGCAACAGAGTGATACCCATCTCTAAAAAATAAAATAAAATAAAAAATAAAAAGAAAGATCTCACACCAGCAATCTAACTTTACAACTTAAGGAACTAGAAAAACAAACTAAACCCAAAGTTAGCAGAAGGATAGAAATAAGAAAGATTAGACCAAAGATAAATAAAATAGAGAATAGAAAAAAAAATAGAGAAAATCACCAGCACCAAAAGTTGATTCTTTAAAAAGATAAACAAAATTGACAAACCTTTTGCTAGAGTAGAGGAACTAAGAAAAAAGAGAGACAACTCAAATACTAAAACGAGAAAGTGTGTACATTAATACCGATTCTATGGGAATAAAAATGACTTTACAAGGTACTATGAGTAATTGTACAGCAATAAATTAGATAACCTAGGTGAAATGGACAAATTCCTAGAAACACAGAACTAGAACCTACCAAGGCTAAGCCACATAGAAACTCTGAATAGACCTATAATTAGTAAGGAGATTGAATACATAATAAAAAAATCTCCTGATAAAGAAAAGCCCTGGAACTGATAGTTTCACAGGTGAGTTCCACCAACCATTTAAAAGAACTAACATAAACCCTTTTTAGACTTTCCCAAAAAATTGAAGCAGAGAAAACACTCCCTAACTCATCTATGAGGGCAGCATTACCCTGATTCCAAAGCAAGACAAAAACACTACAAGAAAAGAAAACTGTAGACCAATTTACCTTACAAACATTGATGCAAAAATCCCAAACAAAATCCTAGTAAACCAAATTCAGGAGCATATAAAAGGATTATACACCATGACCAAGTGAGATTTATTCCTGGAACACAAGGATGATTCAACACACGAAAATCAATCCACGTAACAGCCTATATTAGAAGACTAAAGGGAAGAAAACCACAAAATCGCCCCTCCCCCTCCCCCTCCCCCTCTCTCCACGGTCTCCTTCCACGGTCTCCCTCTGATGCCGAGCCAAAGCTGGACAGTACTGCTGCCATCTCGGCTCACTGCAACCTCCCTGCCTGATTCTCCTGCCTCAGCCTGCCGAGTGCCTGCGATTGCAGGCGCACGCCGCCACGCCTGACTGGTTTTCGTTTTTTTTTTGGTGGAGACGGGGTTTTGCTGTGTTGGCCGGGCTGGTCTCCAGCTCCTAACCGCGAGTGATCCGCCAGCCTCGGCCTCCCGAGGTGCCGGGATTGCAGACGGAGTCTCGTTCACTCAGTGCTCAATGGTGCCCAGGCTGGAGTGCAGTGGCGTGATCTCGGCTCGCTACAACCTCCACCTCCCAGCCGCCTGCCTTGGACCCCCAAAGTGCCGAGATTGCAGCCTCTGCCCAGCCGCCACCCCGTCTGGGAAGTGAGGAGCGTCTCTGCCTGGCCCCCCATCGTCTGGGATATGAGGAGCCTCTCTGCCTGGCTGCCCAGTCTGGAAAGTGAGGAGCGTCTCCGCCCGGCCGCCATCCCATCTAGGAAGCGAGGAGCGCCTCTTCCCCACCCCCATCCCATCTAGGAAGTGAGGAGCGTCTCTGCCCGGCCGCCCATCGTCTGAGATGTGGGGAGCACCTCTGCCCCGCCGCCCTGTCTGGGATGTGAGGAGCGCCTCTGCTGGCCACAACCCTGTCTGGGAGGTGAGGAGCGTCTCTGCCCGGCCGCCCCGTCTGAGAAGTGAGGAAACCCTCTGCCTGGCAACCGCCCCGTCTGAGAAGTGAGGAGCCCCTCCGTCCGGCAGCCACCCCGTCTGGGAAGTGAGGAGCGTCTCCGCCCGGCAGCCACCCCATCCGGGAGGGAGGTGGGGGGGGTCAGCCCCCCGCCCGGCCAGCCGCCCCGTCCGGGAGGTGAGGGGCTCCTCTGCCCGGCCGCCCCTACTGGGAAGTGAGGAGCCCCTCTGCCCAGCCAGTCGCCCCGTCCAGGAGGGAGGTGGGGGGGTCAGCCCCCCGCCCGGCCAGCCGCCCAGTCTGGGAGGTGAGGGGCTCCTCTGCCCGGCCGCCCCTACTGGGAAGTGAGGAGCCCCTCTGCCCAGCCAGCCGCCCCGTCCGGGAGGGAGGTGGGGGGGTCAGCCCCCCGCCCGGCCAGCCGCCCAGTCCGGGAGGGAGGTGGGGGGGTCAGCCCCCCGCCTGACCAGCCACCCCGTCCGGGAGGGAGGTGGGGGGGCCAGCCCCCCGCCTGGCCAGCCGCCCCGTCCGGGAGGTGAGGGGCGCCTCTGCCTGGCCGCCCCTACTGGGAAGTGAGGAGCCCCTCTGCCCGGCCAGCCGCCCCGTCCGGGAGGGAGGTGGGGGGGTCAGCCCCCCGCCTGGCCAGCCGCCCCATCCGGGAGGGAGGTGGGGGGGTCAGCCCCCCGCCCGGCCAGCCGCCCCGTCCAGGAGGGAGGTGGGGGGGGTCAGCCCCCCGCCCGGCCAGCCGCCCCGTCCGGGAGGGATGTGGGGGGATCAGCCCCCCGCCTGGCCAGCCGCCCCGTCCAGGAGGTGAGGGGGGCCTCTGCCCGGCCGCCCCTACTGGGAAGTGAGGACCCCTCTGCCCGGCCAGCCGCCCCGTCCGGGAGGGAGGTGGGGGGGTCAGCCCCCCGCCCGGCCAGCCGCCCAGTCCGGGAGGGAGGTGGGGGGGTCAGCCCCCCGCCTGACCAGCCACCCCGTCCGGGAGGGAGGTGGGGGGGCCAGCCCCCCGCCTGGCCAGCCGCCCCGTCCGGGAGGTGAGGGGCGCCTCTGCCCGGCCGCCCCTACTGGGAAGTGAGGAGCCCCTCTGCCTGGCCAGCCGCCCCGTCCGGGAGGATGGTGGGGGGGTCAGCCCCCCGCCCGGCCAGCCGCCCCATCCGGGAGGTGAGGGGCGCTTCTGCCCGGCCGCCCCTACTGGGAAGTGAGGAGCCCCTCTGCCCGGCCACGACCCGTCTGGGAGGTGTGCCCAGCGGCTCATTGGGGATGGGCCATGATGACAATGGCGGTTTTGTGGAATAGAAAGGCAGGAAGGGTGGGGAAAAAACTGAGAAATCAGATGGTTGCCGGGTCTGTGTGGATGGAGGTAGACATGGGAGACTTTTCATTTTGTTCTGTACTAAGAAAAATTCTTCTGCCTTGGGATCCTGTTGATCTGTGACCTTATCCCCAACCCTGTGCTCTCTGAAACATGTGCTGTGTCCACTCAGGGTTAAATGGATTAAGGGCGGTGCAAGATGTGCTTTGTTAAACAGATGCTTGAAGGCAGCATGCTCCTTAAGAGTCATCACCACTCCCTAATCTTAAGTACCCAGGGACACAAACACTGCGGAAGGCCGCAGGGTCCTCTGCCTAGGAAAACCAGACCTTCCCTCCACTATTGTCCTATGACCCTGCCAAATCCCCCTCTGCGAGAAACACCCAAGAATGATCAATAAAAAAAAAAAAAAAAAAAGAGTCATCACCAATCCCCAATCTCAAGTAATCAGGGACACAAACACTGCGGAAGGCCGCAGGGTCCTCTGCCTAGGAAAACCAGAGACCTTTGTTCACTTGTTTATCTGCTGACCTTCCCTCCACTATTGTCCCATGACCCTGCCAAATCCCCCTCTGTGAGAAACACCCAAGAATTATCAATAAAAAAAAAAAAAAAAAAAAAAAAAGAAAACCACAAAATCATTTCAACTGATGCAGAGAAAGCATTTGAGAAAATTCAACACCCTTTCTTGATAAAAACAAACAAATAAAACACTCAACAAACAAGGAATGGAAGGAGACTACCTCAACATAATAAAAGCCATATAAAAGAAATGCAAGCAAACTTCATATTCAATGGTGATGACCTGAAAGCTTTCCCTCTAAGATCAGGAATAAAGCAAGGATGCCTGTTTTCACCACTTCTATTCAACATAATAATGGAAGTTCTGTCAAGAGCAATAAGACAAGAGAAGAAATAAAAGGCATCGAAATTAGAAAGAAAGAAGTTAAATTATGTCTGTTCACGGATGATATGATCTCATATATAGAAAACCTGAATGTTCCACAAAAATACTATCAGAACTAATAAATAAATAAATTCACCAAAGTGGCAGGATACAAAGTCAACATGCAAAAATCAGTTGCATTTCTATTCACTAATGAACAATCCAAAAAGGAAATTAAGAAAACAATTCCATTTCCAATAGCATCAAAAAGAATAAAACACTTAGGAATAAACTTAACCAAGGAGATGAAAGACTTGTACAATAAAAAAAACCATAAAATACAGCTGAAAGGAATTAAAGAGGACACATACAAATGTTAAGACACCCCATAGTCATTGATTGGAAGATTTAATATTAAGATGTCAATATTACCAAAAGTGATTTACAGGTTCAATGCAATCCCTATCAAAATCCCAGTGACTTTTTTTCAGAAATAGAAAGATCCATCCAAAAATTCATATGGAATCTCAAGAGATCCTGAATAGCCAAAACAATCCTGAAAAGAAGAACAAAGCTGGAGGACTCACTCTTCCTGATTTCAAAACTTAAAATTACAGTAATCAAAACAGTGCAGCATTGACATAAAGACAGACAAATGGACCACAGAAATGAGCAGAGGGCCCAGAACAAACCCTCACATATAAAGTCATATGATTGTTGGGGGCACCAAGACCATTCAGTTGGGAAAGGACAGTTTTTTCAACAAATGCTGCTAGGAAAGCTGGCTATCCACATGCAAAAGAATGAGGTTGGACCCTTACCTACTACCATATACAAAAGTTAATTAACAATGAATCCATGACCTAAATGTAAGATCTAAAACAATAAAACGTTTAATGTTTTTTACTATAGTTTCCTATAGTGAGAAAACGCAGGCAAAAGTTTCATGACACTGAATTGGGCAACAATGTTTTAAGTATGACACCAAAGGCACTGGCAACAACAAAAAAAGATAGATTGGACAATGAAAATTTTAAAACTTTATGCATGAAAAGATACTATCAACAGAGTAAAAAGGCAGCCCACAAAATGCAGAAAATACTTTCAAATCATGTATATTTTATTATATACATTTATTATATACATGTATATTATATCCAGAATATATAGAGAATTCCTAAAACCCAACAAAAAACCTCAAACAACCCAATTCATAAATGGGCAAAGGACTTGAACCGACATTTCTCCAAATAAGAGATACAAATGGCCAATAAGCACATGAAAGAACCAATGTGATACGGAATGGACAAAAACTGGAAGCATTCCCTTTGAAAACGGGCACAAGACAGGGATGCCCTCTCTCACCACTCCTATTCAACATAGTGTTGGAAGTTCCGGCCAGGGCAATCAGGCAGGAGAAGGAAATCAAGGGCATTCAGTTAGGAAAAGAGGAAGTCAAATTGTCCCTGTTTGCAGATGACATGATTGTATATCTAGAAAACCCCATGGTCTCAGCCCAAAACCTCCTTAAGCTGATAAGCAACTTCAGCAAAGTCTCAGGGTACAAAATCCATGTGCAAAAATCATAAGCATTCCTATACACCAATAACAGACAAACAGAGCTAAATCATGAATGAACTCCCATTCACAATTCCTTCAAAGAGAATAAAATACCTAGGGATCCAACTTAAAGGGATGTGAAGGACCTCTTCAAGGAGAAGTACAAACCACTGCTCAATAAAATAAAAGAACACACAAACAAATGGAAGAACATTCCATGCTCATGGGTAGGAAGAATCAGTATCATGAAAATGGCCATACTGCCCAAGGTAATTTATAGATTCAATGCCATCCCCATCAAGCTACCAATGACTTTCTTCACAGAATTGGAAAAAACTACTTGAAAGTTCATATGGAACCAAAAAAGAGCCCGTGTTGCCAAGTCAATCCTAAGCCAAAAGAACAAAGCTGGAGGCATCATACTACCTGACTTCAAACTATACTACAAGGCTACAGTAACCAAAACAGCATGGTACTGGTACCAAAACAGAGATATAGACCAATGGAACAGAACAGAGCCCTCAGAAATAATGCCGCATATCTACAACTATCTGATCTTTGACAAACCTGAGAAAAACAAGCAATGGGGAAAGGATTCCCTATTTAATAAATGGTGCTGGGAAAACTAGCTAGCCATATGTAGAAAGCTGAAACTGGATCCCTTCCTTACACCTTATACAAAAACTAATTCAAGATGGATTAAAGACTTCAATGTTAGACCTAAAACCATAAAAACCCTAGAAGAAAACCTAGGCAATACCATTCAGGACATAGGCATGGGCAAGGACTTCATGTCAAAAACACCAAAAGCAATGGCAACAAAAGCCAAAATTGACAAATGGGATCTAATTAAACTCAAGAGCTTCTGCACAGCAAAAGAAACTACCATCAGAGTGAACAGGCAACCTACAGAATGGGAGAAAATGTTTGCAACCTACTCATCTGACAAAGGGCTAATATCCAGAATCTACAATGAACTCAAACAAATTTACAAGAAAAAAACAACCCCATCAAAAAGTGGGTGAAGGATATGAACAGACACTTCTCAAAAGAAGACATTTATGCAGCCAAAAAACACATGAAAAAATGCTCATCATCACTGGCCATCAGAGAAATGAAAATCAAAACCACAATGAGATACCATCTCACACCAGTTAGAATGGCAATCATTAAAAAGTCAGGAAACAACAGGTGCTGGAGAGGGTGTGGAGAAATAGGAACACTTTTACACTGTTGGTGGGACTGTAAACTAGTTCAACCATTGTGGAAGTCAGTGTGGCGATTCCTCAGGGATCTAGAACTAGAAATACCATTTGACCCAGCCATCCCATTACTGGGTATATACCCAAAGGATTATAAATCATGCTGCTATAAAGACACATGAACACGTATGTTTATTGCAGCACTATTCACAATAGCAAAGACTTGGAACCAACCCAAATGTCCAACAATGATAGACTGGATTAAGAAAATGTGGCACATATATACCATGGAATACTATGCAGCCATAAAAAATGATGAGTTCATGTCCTTTGTAGGGACATGGATGAAGCTGGAAACCATCATTCTCAGCAAACTATTGCAAGGACAAAAAACCAAACACCATATGTTCTCACTCACAGGTGGGAATTGAACAATAAGTGTCCATGTGTTCATGGACACAGGAAGGGAAACATCACACACCGGGGACTGTTGTGGGGTGGGGGGAGGAGGGAGGGATAGCATTTGGAGATATACCTAATGCTAAATGACGAGTTAATGGGTACAGCACACCAACATGGCACATGTATACATATGTAACAAACCTGCACGTTGTGCACATGTACCCTAAAACTTAAAGTATAATAATAATAAAATAAAAAATAAATAAATAGATAAAAAGAATTCCTGACATCCCTAATCATTAGGGAAGGGCAATTCAAAACTAAAATGAGATGCCCCCTCACACCCATTAAGATGGCTAGTATCAAAAACAAACAAAAAAAAATGATGGCAAAGATGTAGAACCCTTACTCACTATTGGTGGAGACGTAACATGGTATAGCATAGCCGCTGGCGAAAGGGGTGTGGTGGTTCCTCAAAAAATTAAATGTAAAATTACTATATGATCCAGCAATTCCACTTCTGAGTATATACCCAAAAGAATCAAAAGCAGGGTCTCAAAGAGACATTTGTACACTCATTTTCAAAGAACATGATTTACAATAGCCAAAACATGGAAACAATTCAAATTTCCATCAATAGAAGAATGGATAAGCAAAATGAGGCATTCCTTAAAAAGGAATTCCCTTTTAAGACTGAATAATATTTTTCTATATATATACACATGTGGTATTCAGCCTTTAAAAGAAAATTCTGACCTATGCAACAACATGGGTGAATCTTGAGGACATTACACTAAGTGAAGTAAGCCAGTCACAAGCAAACACTGAATGATTCCATTTATATGAAGTACACAGAAAAGTCAAAATCATAGAGAAAGAAAGTAGAACAGTGGTTACCAGGGCTGGGAGGAAGAGAGGATAGGAAGTTGCTGTTTAACGGATATA
Source organism: Homo sapiens (assembly GCF_000001405.40). NCBI lineage: Eukaryota > Metazoa > Chordata > Mammalia > Primates > Hominidae > Homo > Homo sapiens. The sequence goes on along the minus strand of NW_011332696.1, from coordinate 377,533 downwards.
GAGTTTCAGGTTTGCAAGATGAAAAACATTCAGGAAATGGACAGTGGTGATGGTCACACAACAATCTCAATGTACTTAATACCACTGAACTTATACTTAAAAATAGTTACAGTGGTAAATTTCATGTCAAGTGTATTTTACCACATTGTGGGTAATTACAAGGGAGGAAAAAAAATAAACATAGAATTACCACATGACCCAGCAATTCCACCTCTGGGTATGCACCCAAAAGAACTGAAAGCAGGGACTCATACAGATATTTATGTATCAATGTTCACAGCAGCATTATTCACAATGGCCAAAGTAGAAACAACCCAAATGTCCATCAATGGATGAAAGGATAAACAAAATGTGGTATATACACATAATAGAATTCAGCCTTAAAAAAGAGAATGAAATTCTGGTACATGCTAGAATACAGATGGAACCTGAAAAAATTGTGGTAAACTGAAGTATGCCAGACACAAAAGGACAAAAACTGTATGATTCAATTTACAAGAAACATACAGAATAGTAATATTTGGCCAGGCGCGGTGGCTCACACCTGTAACCCCAGCATTTGGGAGGCCGAGGTGGAAGGATCCCTTGAGCCTAGGAGTTTGAGACCAGCCTGGGCAACATGGTGAAACCCCGTCTCTACAAAATATACAAAAATTAGCCAGGCGTGGTGGTGTGCACCTGAGGTCCCAGCTACTCAGGAGGCTGAGGCGGGAGGATCACTTGAGCCTGTAAGGTAGAGGGAGGTCGCAGTGAGCCAAGATCGTGCCACTGCACTCTAGCCTGGGTGACAGCGTGAGGCCCTGTCTCAAAAAAAAAAAAAAACAAAAAGAATAGTAAAATTCATGGCGAAAATAAGTAGAATAATAATGTTTGTCAGGGCTGAGGGTAGAGATTGGGAAATTACTATTTAATAGACTTCAATTTGGGATAACGGAGAAGTTCCGGAGATGGAAGGTCATGATACTGCACAACAATGTGAATATACTTAATGCCACTGAATTGTACACTCAAAAAGGATTAAAATGATAAATTGTATGTTATACATATTTTACAATTACAAAGTCAGGTATGTTGATTTTAATTTTTGCTAAGCAAAAATATTCCACAATACCCCTCTAATAAGAAGGCCAAAAAAAAAAATGTGACCAACAGGGAACAAAATGAAAACTATAAAAGGATAAACAAAGGAAAGAATAAATTCCATTTCCTTCCCTGAAAATGGAGAGAATTGAACCAGGTTTTCTTCCAAATGTAAACTCTGAAAATTTTATGTTTGTAAGGGAAGGGGGATGAAGGATTCTTCTATAATGACATACCATGTTTCTTTTAACACAGGATCAGGACTACTTCAAAATTATTTGCAAAAAGGAATATATTCAAAGTGAGAAGGCCCTCACTCTTACTGTGAAAATAAACATTACAAACATTCACAATTCAGATGAGAAAATCTTTCAACAGCTCTCACTGAGTGAAGGCAGAAAGCCCACTTTGTCCCACTTGCCTGGAAGAATGAATGCCATCCTGGAAGAACAGGCCACTTGGGTGCCCCCCACACTTCAGCAGCTGGTGCTCACCAGACCTAGGTGCTCTCCACTTGTTGAAACATCAATAACCCAAAAACCTTAGCTTTCCAGACAAAGCAGGATGGATGGCTGCAGCACTCAGGGATTCTTTCCTTCCCAAAAGAGCTTGCTTTAAGGAGCTGAAAGTGTTCTTTTTATTTAAAAAAAAAAAGGTGTTTAACACATGCTCACAGTAGTTTGAAGTATACACAGGTTAGAAATGTAGGCTTTGCAAGGCGCACCAAGACTGATTATAAAAGAGGGGAGGTTATTTTTATATGGTTAACAGCAATCACATTAGGGACCTGACACGTTTTTTTTTTGTTTGTTTGTTTTTTGGTTTTTTGAGATTTTCAGCAAGATAAACCATAGGTCCACTTTAAATGAAAATAAATAAAATATCAGAAAAGGATGCAAGAAAAAAATCTGAAATACTAATGCCAGGACTTTTCTTGCTCAAAGGGGTAACCCTTCTTGCACGTGTTAACTCATCATGGGTTCCTTAGCTCCAATGGGTAATGGGAAACAGGATTGTTTACACTGGAGAAGACGCCCTGATCAGATGGAAAGTTCTCATTTAGTAGTAGCCTAAAAAGTTGAGGCAATACTTATAGCAGATAATTGCTAAGAACAAGATCAATTTCAGAAAAAACTAACTTTTCCACACACGAAGTCTACTAATAAGGAAAATAATCTCAACTTCTACTCAGTTTATATCCAATTAAAAGAAAATATAAACGAAGTATTTCTTTCACAGAGAGTTAAGACACAATGAGTTGGCAATAAAGCAAATTGCCACCCACTCCAGACTGTAAATAGGGGGCAAATGTTGCAAAATAGGGCCTTCCATGAAGTACATTCCTTGGTGACAGCAGTTTCTGTAAAACAGTTTCCAAGGGAGCAGTAGAAGCAATCCCTGTGGCAAAGTCCGGTCACCAATGCCAGCCAGCATTGTTTGCCGTGCAAGGCACGGCAGGTACTTGGCAGTGGCTCAGTTCTGTGGCATGATCTTGGCCATTTTACTTGGCTAGGTAGCCCAAAACACGATTCTAGAGCTCTTCTGCTGATTCTGTGAGCTATCCACATTCCTTTTAATAATTTCTTTATCTGCTTAAATCAGCCAGAAAAATCTGACCAATGTACTTAACTTCAGTTTCTGTATTAGTAAAAGAGGAATAGCACTATATACCTTGAATGTAGCTCAGAGTATTAATTGATAATACATGTTAAAAATCCTTTGGAAAACAATAAACAACATTATTATAATTTACTAAAATTTAACTACATGCCAGGCACTATATAAAACACTGTATTTCAAGAATAAGAAAAATAATGCCTAATATTAATGATGGCACTCTCTCAGCCAAGCACTGTGCTAAGCATGTTCTGTATTTTGTCTTAATTGTCAGGATGACATTAAAAGGCAGGTAATCCCCTATACTAAGTAAGTAAAGTAAAAATAATCATCATAATAAAAAAATCACAGTGATGGAAATAAGTGCTAGAACTAACAGAAAGAATAATGTTATCAATTAATGATTTTTGGTGACAGAAATATTACTGCACCTTGAGGGAGATAATACAGTAGCCAAACCATGAAAGCTCTAGAGTCACCAATTCTTAAAATTCTAGTGTCAATGATTTGGCAACTTACTTGAGGAGTTCATTTAAAATATCATTTTCCTCTTAATTCAGGCTTAAGACAGTTTTTGCTTGGTTGAGATGTGGTTATACTTTAGAATCAAGATGTTTTCAGTAGCAACACAGCTCATTTATGACTAAATCTTTACCTTTATGGGTTGTCTCTCTGGAACTCACTTCGTTGAAGGTTCACTTTCGGCATTTACCATAGAACCCTTCTTCTGTATTATTGTTGACATTCCTGCTCTCTCTTCCCAGTTACTCAGTAAGGTCCTTAAGGGAAAAAGTGTGTATGGTGCCTCGTAGACTTACACAAAGTAGTTCTCTGGCCGGGCGCGGTGGCTCATGCCTGTAATGCCAGCACTTTAGGAGGCCGAGGTGGGTGGATCACTTGAGGCCAGGAGTTTGAGACCAGCCTGGCCAACATGGTGAAAGCCCATCTGTAATAAAAATACAAAAAAATTAGCCAGGTGTGGTGGCGGGCACCTGTAATCCCAGCTACTTGGGAGGCTGAGGCAGGAGAATCACTTGAACCCAGGAGGCAGAGATTTCAGTGGGCTGAGATGATGCCACTGCATTCCAGCCTGGGCAACAGAGACTGTGTCACAAAAAAGAAAACAAAAAACCAAACCAAAACAAAAAAGTAGTTCTCCACAGACTGCTGTTGGACATGCTGAGGAGTGCTCCTATGTGGATGAGTTCTGAAACATACTATTGGTGCTTGCTATGGTTTGAATGGGTCCCTTCCAAAATGCAGGTGTTGCCAATGACAGTAATAGGAGGTGGGGCTTTTAAGAGGTGGTTAGGCCATGAGGGCTCCTCTCTGGGTAAATGGGATTAGCTGCCCTTACAAAAGGGCTCAGCAGGGGAGTTACTCCTGTTTTTTGCCCATTCTCCTTCTGCCAGTTGAGGGCAGAGTGTTCATCCACTCTAGAAGACGCAGCACTCAACAAACCTTAATCTTGAACTTCCCAGCCTCCAGAACAGTGAGAAATAAATTTCTGTTCTTTATAAATTACCCAGTCTCCAGTATTTTGTTATAAATGGACCAAGACAGTGCTCCCTTGGGCCTTGGCTAAAGATCTCTAATTTCCAAGAGGCTCAAGTGCCTAGTTCCTCCATTTCATTTCCCCCAAGCAAAGTTCTGAATTTAAATTTATTTCTCACCCGGAGCAAAAGACGCACATTCTGTTCACATCTCTCCAAATAAATGAGCTCATTTCTGTTTCTGAAGTAAATTTACGTCACCCATATTTGAAGATATGGGCTCTTCTTGTGCAAGTACTGAATGAGCCCTTATCTATAAATCACTTGCCTTCAGCCTTTTGAAGAGTCTACAAAGGCAGTTATACGGAACTACAAGATAAAAGTGATACCAAAGGTCAACAAAGCCAAGGATTAAACTTTGTTCCTTTCCTCTAGCAACTAGGAAAAAATACACAATATATCCTGCCATCAGTAAGTCAAAGCTTGATTGATCTAGGGTAATTAAATCATATAATCTAGCAAGTCCACTCCTTGGTTCTCTGACCAGGGCATCACATTCAGAGATAACATATCTGAATACTCATGTGACCATAAACACAAAGATTCCAATCCCAGGGCTGAGGGAGGGAATGGGTTTCCACGTTCCAAGTCCATCAAGCGTGTACATCACAGCCTTTGTTGAAGATACCTCAGTCATAAAAACTCAAACCTTTCTCCCTGTTTCTAAAGCACACAGCTGTGAAAACATGCTCCTTTATGGAACATGTTAGTTGATAATACTCGGGAAAAAAAAGTATGTAATTAATTGTTACCCTTTCCTCATCTCCTGCTTCAGTTTCCTCAGAAGCAGGAAGGTGCCCCCCACAGCGGACTAGGGAGATATGGGGCAATCACAGAAAGGAAATCCTTGGTGTGCCCAAGCCACGGGGAAGAGCAGCTGGGATTGCCACAGAAAAGCCAGCAGAAGCAACAGACCTCTAACAGTGAAACAGCCAAATAATCCAACATGAACATATTTTGAAGAGAAATATCTTTGATTTTATGATGCAATTAAGTCAGGGAGACAGATGTGCAAACTAGTTAAATATACAGGTTTTAGAATTAGATCTGAGTTTAAATCCTAGCTCTGCCCTTAATAGCTGTGTGACAGGAAAGGTCTTTCATCTCTCTGAGCCTCAGCACCCTCATCTGCCAAATGAGGAAAATACCTACCCTAATAGGTTGTACAAGGATTAAACGAGAAAATACATGTAACACTTTTGTGCAAAAAAAAAAAGGGAAATGTGGTTATTATTAACGAAAAAGTGGGACTGTGTATACTCAAGCCACTGCTTCTATTCAATTTCTAAGAAATAATAATGAGTAGTACCTAAACACTTTGGAAGTTTTCTGGGCACCAAGTATAAAACTATGTGGAAAGTTTTTCTATCCTACCAACGTTCACGTATACAACTTTCACTATGAAGACGTGATAAAGCTAAATTATACCTTAGAAGGAAACAAAGACTTTAAAACATGTTTGTTTTCATGTTAATTACAGTAGAAGCTAATAGAGAAATAAAGTTCAAATACTTCTGGAATTATTTTTAGGGAGACTTTTGTTTAAAAACAAGTTAAAGAACAATTGAAGGTGACAGGGAATCAAATTTGGACTTATGGGAAAAAGGGGAACTCAACTACTCAAAGATGTTCCATAACAGAGCAGATTTCCTTATATGACAACGAGCTGCTTCTGATCAGATGTTGAGCAAGTCAAGGTTAAAAGTCTACTTCAATGAGATATTCCACAAAAGACCCTCAATTCAGGAACTCTGCAGGAAGCAGAATATTGGATAAAACTCTTGAACACTACAACACACAACCAACTCTCTGGTGTCCACAGTAGGGCAGAATTTCCCTCTAATAATCATCCCTAATTAGAGAAGGGTCTCCAAATTCAGGTAAGAGACAAATTTGCCACTCAATTCAAATATGACAGAAGCTGAATTCACGAATCTCATGATCCTTAAGCATGTTGTTTTGCTCTCTCAACTCTTTTTTCTCCCTTGATGCCCTGCTTTTATCAGCTATCCAATCTAATTCCATGAATAGTTACTGGCTTCTAGAAATCTATCCCAAAGAAACAAACTCAGATGAAATTTATGCACCAAGATTTTGTACTCCAGTATCATTTTAATACCCAAAATGTCCTCCAATGGGAGAATGATTAAACTATATTTATATTTACAAAAAGAAATGTTATCCAGCTGTTTACACTTTTTTTTTTTTTTTTTTTGAGACGGAGTCTCGCTCTGTAGCCCAGGCTGAAGTGCAGTGGCGCCATCTTGGCTCACTGCAAGCTCCGCCTCCCGGGTTCACGCCATTCTCCTGCCTCAGCCTCCTGAGTAGCTGGGACTACAGGCGCCCACCACCAAGCCCAGCTAATTTTTTTGTATTTTTTTTTTTTAGTAGAGACAGGGTTTCACCATGTTAACCAGGATGGTCTCGATCTTCTGACCTCGTGATCCGCCCGCCTTGGCCTCCCAAAGTGCTGGGATTACAGGCGTGAACCACCGCTCCTGGCCTTAGATGATGTTTTCAAACAATATCCAATGACATGGGAAATGCCACAATAGAATTTTAAGTAAAATTGTGATATAAAATGACAAATTTTAATTATAAAGTAAATGTATACTTTACATAGGTCTACACTAGAAGGAAAAATATAGCAAGTTATTAACAATGGCTATGTCTAGGTAGAATTTTTAATTTTCTTTTTTGTCATTTTGTTTTCCAAGTTCCTTAAAATAATCATATATTCATTTCGTGATCAGAAAAAAAATTATTAAAAAAATAAATATGGCAAAAAAGCTATGTTATAGTTATCTTGGATTTGTAACTCAGAAATCAAAACAATTCTTTTAAAAGGAAGAAGCATGGTATAAGAAAATTAAGTTTGCATCTGACCCTATGTTTGAGATGGTTGCTAAGCACGATGTTGTCTTTAAATTAATCAATAAGCAAGGAACAGCTGGGACAATATCCGGTTTTACTGAGGATGTGGAACAACAGGAACTCTAATATATAGCTAGTAAGGCGATAAAAGAGCATAACTACTTTGAAGAGTAAATTGACTGTATCTAGTAAAGCTGAAAATACATGTGCCCTACTAGACAGCAATTTGTTCCTAGTTACATACCCTAGAGAAAACTCTCATACATGTGCAAAAGGAGACATGTACAAAGATGTCCACTGCAAAACTGTTTAATAGTAAAACAACTGGAAACAACTCAAATATTCACTAATAAGTCAATGGATACACTGTGAAATATTCATTTGATGGAATACTACGCAGCAGTGAAAATAAGTGAGACATATATCAACATGGATAAATCTCAAAATTATAAGGAAAAGAAAAAAGAAAGTTACACAAGTAGCTGAAGGATACATATAGAACACAACTTATATAAAGTCAAAACAAGTGAAAGAATATTCTACACCGCTTAGATATACAAAAACATGTAGGAAAAAGACAAGCCACGAAGAAAACACATGGGCATGATGAATGCCAAAATCAGATCAATAATTCCCTGTGGAGTGGGAGGAGGAGGGAATATCAGGGAAGGATATAAAGGATGGGGAGGGGGCGTTGTTTATTTGAAACGTGTATTTTTCTTCCTGCAGGGAAAGAGATCTGAAGCAAACATGGCAAAATATTAAAATATGACAAATTTGATGAATACACAGGTGTTTGCTATTTTTTTTTTTTTTTCTGTATGCTGACATACTGCAAATGAAAAAGAAATTCTAGGTAGCAGCTGATAATCTCTATGGAGGACAAGGCATCCTATCCACAGCAGTTTCTTAAACCCTGCTGGGTCTAAGGCCCCTCTGCAAAGCTGATGGAATCTATGGCTCCACTTCCCATGGGGTTTATTATGCTACCACCACTCCACCCTTGGTCACCTCAGGAGACATTCAGGAAAACCCATGCCCACTCTTTTGTCATGTGGTTGACCGAGGTAATTTCAACTCTTGCTAAGAGTTACCAAGGCCAGACAATTAGACAGGGAGAGAGCGTGAAACATTGGCTGCTCAGAGAAATAGCCTGTGATAAAAACAAGATTTTCACTGAATCAAGGCTGCCAGGGTAACAACTAGTGAAAAAGCTAAAAATCCAGTGGTACACATGCAACTGAATGTTTTCAAACCAACTTAAAAGGTAGGGGAAGCATTACGGAAAACATTCTTCAACTTAATTCAGCCTTGGTGCGAAGCCAAGGTTCTAAGTAGTGACTGACAACAAAGATTAGTGGGATTTGTTCATACTTCTCAAAATTTTCCTCTATTTGCACATCTTATTTAATAACATTTAATTTGGTTAATTTTTAGCAAACATTTGGCTAATGTCTATGCTTAGCTTTTCCAATAAAGCACTGTGTTATTTTCAGAAAGTCCAGATGAGTGGAAAACAATGACACTTTGAGTTACTGACTCAGTTAATAAAACCTAAGGGAAAATGGCTGCTGAGACTTAGAAGTCATGACGGAAACAACTGGTGACAGTACACCTAAATTACTGGCTAAGCACCTAGAAGGACACAGTCTTTGGCAGGACAGGCTTAAAAGATTGAAACCTACAAAGGGACATTAAATACTATTAATTCAACATGTATGTGAAGGTCTTTAACTGCTGTAATTATCTCAGAGGGTTTTTCTTTTAGAAGTTCTAGATCTGTGGTACTCAGAATTGTCCCCAAAATGCCAACATTGTAAGCTTAACAATGCCATGTAAAATCTCCTGTTTCTTTGTTATGGTCTTTCATTATCTCCATTGTATTCCATCTTTATATTCCAATCCAAATCTTTTATTCATGCCTGCCTCTTCCCTGTCCTCTCTTATTTCCCCTCTACCTTACCTGCAACCCTGACCTCCACCCCAGGCTGCCTCTTGAAAATGCAGAGCAACCACCCAAAGAGCTGGAGAGTGAGTGTTGATTTGGGGAACAATAGTGGGCTACGTAAGAAACCCTTTTGCAATTCACCTTTTTTTTTCCTTCCCTCCATCCAATTTTTCCAAACTTTTTCCCCCAATACTGTTGTTTTTCCCTGAAATTCACTCTGAGGAGTGAATAGGAGTGATAGGTTGAATGAAACCTATGCTACAGTATAAACACACAACTTCTTAAAACTTTCCAAGATCTTTATGCTAAGGAACAACAAAGAAAACTGTGCTGCTTAGTAATACTGTAAAACACATACTGTTTTAGCCCCCCTGAAACACACAGAGGTAATCTGGAAGAAGGAAGGCCTCTCCTGGCCATCGCAGAGACTGGGGCACCACTGGCAATTCAGTGGGCAGGGACAAAAATTGCCAATACACGGCAGTGACACACAATAAAGGCTGGCCCACCCAAGATGCCAGTAGCACCCCAACCGTCTCTCCCACTCTTATTATGATACACTGGACCACAGACACTCATGTAGCCAGATAACTCCAACTAATTTCAATAAATAGTTGGCTAATCTTGACATTTTCTGCCTTGTAGGAAAAGGTAAAATCAGCTATCGATTGGGCTGCCTGAATTCCCAATATCGCACAGATATCTGGGAAGGGGGAGGCAGGTGGTGGCACAAGGTCTGCACAGTATTGCCTCCTAGTGTTTGGAAATTCTCATTAAAATGACCATATTTTGAGTTTGATAGCACTGTATTCCAGAGACTTCTTCACTCATCCTTGATGCAGCATTATATTGAGCCAAAAGAGCTACAGGGGCCATTCTTCCCTGAAAATGAGTCAAGATGGTTACACAACCCTCCGCAGGGATCTGCACACAACGGCCCTCTGAGGGTGTGGGGGAGGACATGGTAAACATCTCTCCCCTTCATCAGCTCATGTTCTGACTCAGATTTTTCCTGACAAAACAAACATGGCTTTGATTACATATTAATTATTTTTGTAGCAAGCAGCTCATTCTCACATTCCTTCTCCTGCTCATTTTCCCTCCATAATTCTTTACCCTTTGCCCACAATCCCTCCTCCCAGTCATGTTGTACTATTTGTATGGAAAAAAAAAATTTTAAAGAGTTGCTTCTTGCCAAGTGTGACATCAACTCATTCTTATTTAGTGATGTCCCGCAAGAACTTGCTCTCCCAAAACGTTTGCTCAGTTTTGAGGCAACAAGATTACTCACTGCATTGTTTTCCCTGTCACTTGTTTTTGATGCATTAGTGCATCTTCTGAAACAGATGACATAACACCTAATTTCTATGACCCAAAGCGCTATACACATGTATACAAGCATCTTTTCAGACAGCTTCAGGAAGACAAAGCATTGCTCCTAACTTACTAAGAAGGAAAAAATAACACTATAACAAGATAACGATAATTTTAACCTCCCTGAAAAAGCTCTCTCTGCTTTCGGTAACAAGAAACAGCTATATGATAGTAAGGAAAATGTAAGCCCCAAATTCCATTCTAGGTGAAGAGCTTTGGTTACTTAGAGGAAAGAGAAGAGGAAGATGAAGAAGGAGTGACCCCTAAAATAGTAGGACAGACATATTACACTACTTCACGCTTAACACTTCTTAGCAAGGCACTTCTTAATGAATGCTCTTGGAAAATCAATAATTTTATTCTACACATAAAATAAGCCAAAGTTTAGAATTATTTTCAGTTAGCTCACTGAAAAAACTGGCGGTGGTATTCTTAAAATGTGTTCGACAATGATGGAATTACCAGACTATGTCAGGTACCGATCTTCTCTCATCAAAGTCTTCTTTAAAACTCTTTCCATTCCACTCCTCTGTTAATTAAAAGGTACAAGTGGGAATGATATTATTCCCTAGCTCTCCTTCCTTCAGGGAACAATATTAGCAGCACAGCAGACTTAATTATCAGAATGCAGAAGCGAATTCCCAGCGTAGGCTGTTCCTGGGCACAAATGCCAGTTCTGTCACATTCCAGTACTGGCTGACCAGGATGGCACTGAGGAACCTCAGCACGTACAAAAAACTGTGTAACAACTTGAGCATGTTCCTGGTCATTCTCTAGGATGTCGGCATTTTGGGGTTTCCACTGTCACCCTAGGGGAATCAGTTTAGATCCAACGCACCTAGAAATACTTTAGGACAGGGCATTCAAAGCTTGGGAGTCTAGGTGGACATCTAGCCTGTTCTGGGGAGTTCCAAAGTTCTCAAAGATATAAGGTTTCAAATAAACTAGAGAAGGAACAAGACAACACATATCCTCCTAGGGAACTGCAACTATTTAACAAAAACAAGGCCAAAAAGTCCATAGAGAGAAAGAAGAAAATCACAGGTTTGTGCTGCTGTCTGTGTGAGGGTGCACATGCGTGCATGTGTATTTTAGGTTAGCTGGAAAAAGACAAAGGAAAAGGCCTTGAAAGTTGTAATTATAGAAAATTGCTCAGGTGACTTCATCCCACCCACATGCTTTTGATTTTCAAAAAGTATGCTGAGCATTTTTTAAGTTAGTGTTCCGGAAAGACCGCAGCTGTTCAACACAGATTTCATATGCTCATTTAAAAACATTATTTTATTAACATAAAGGTTAATGGTTTCTAAATGAGGGTAGCAATTTCCAACATGAGTACCGTAAATTCCTATTAATATTCACTCTCAGTTTAAACATACAGACCCAGAAGGATGAACTGTTCCTTGACATTAACAGAAAAATAACATAAAGATTTATAACCCCCACCCCCCACTCCCTCCAAGAGTTTTAGCGTACCCTCTAGAAAACATTACATCTATGTTAAGCACATCAGTACGGTGACATTTGCCATGACTGTAATACTGCATTCAGCGGACCTAGGGCAAAACAAGTTAGGAGAACTGCAAACTTTGGAAGACACCTGCCCCTCCCATTCCCTACCATGCTCCTCTACCCACCCCACCCTCCGCAGGGCCTCCTTTTGAAGTGCTCTCCGCCATGGCCAGAAAAGGCATTGTGCGGATGCTAGGCTAGGGAGCATTGAGTATGCATCAGTGAAACGGCTCCTACTAGTTGTGGTTTTGCAAGGCCACAAGGCCAAAATTCAAAATTAATCTCCCACTGGGCACGGTTGCTCACACCTGTAATCCTAGCACTTCGGGAGGCCGAGGCGGGCAGATCACTTGAGGTCAGGAGTTTGAAACCAGCCTGGCCAACATGATGAAACCCATCTCTACTAAAAATACAAAAATTAGCTGGGCGTGGTAATGTGGGCCTGTAATCTCAGCTACACGGGAGGCTGAGGCAGGAGAATCGCTTGAACCCAGGGGGCGGAGTGAGCCGAGATGGTGCCACTGCACTCCAGCCTGGGCAACAGAGCCAGACTCCATCTCCAAAAGAAACAAACAAACAAACAAAATTAATCTCCCTTCCCCATTCTGCCATTATTCTGCTCCCTCAATCAAGCAACCCTATGGCTATTTCCCCGTCTTTTTATTCCTGGCACCCAATTTGCCAAATCCTGTCATTTCTTCCTTGAAAATGCCTCTCAAGTTTGCTCCTCCTTCCACTATCCCCACCCCAGCCCAGGCTTTCATCAGCTCATCACTAGGAAACTACAACAATCTCCTAACTGCATTGTCCATCTTTGGCCACTGTCATACCAATTCATTCAAAAAGCGCAGCTGTCAACATGTTAATACCCTGCTCCCTACTGCAACAAACAAAACTACAATCACGTTCTTATGGCATCAACTTCAAATTCCTTTCCCTATCCTTTAGGAGCCTCCAAATCTGGCCCTAACCTAATTTTCCCACCTTGCCGGGCATGGTAGCTCACCCCTGTAATCCCGGCACGCTGGGAGGCCAAGGCAGGTGGATCACTTGAGGTCGGGAGTTCGAGATCAGCCTGGCCAACATGGTGAAACCCCATCTCTACTAAAAATACAAAAAAAAAAAAAAAAAAAAAAATTAGCTGGGTGTGGTGGTACGCACCTGTATTCCCAGCTACTTGGGAGGCTGAGACAAGAGAATCATTTGAACCTGGGAAGCGGAGGCTGCAGTGGCAGAGATCACACCACTGCACTCCAGCCTGGGTGACAGAGAGAGACTCTTTCTCAAAATAATAATAATAATAATAATTGTCTCATCCTCTTACTCCCTCTCAAATTGCAGCCTTCTCTTTGGTCACAGAGTGATCACTCTGCCACCACCCCATCTCCTCAATGCAGGATATTCAGACCCACTTTGCTCAGACTCTCTTGCCAGCCCAGAACTCCTTCATCCACCTTCCCAACCCAACCTAACACATCACACCAAAACCCCACCTGTCCTTTTAGGTTCAGCTCAATTAATCATTCCTCTCTATATACAGTTGTTTCCTATGACTATGGTCCACCTCTTCCCCTGTGGTAAAAACCATCCGGCCTTTGGACTATGACAGACCTGAGTTTAAATCTTTTTGGAAGATGAGCAAGTTGTCTAACCTCTCTGTAGCTCAGCATTATCTATATGTGGATGATGTTAATATTTCCCTCATAGGATTGTTTTTGAAGACTTGCAAAGGTCCTGTATGAAGTACAACCAGTGTAGCACTTGGCACATGGGAAACAGGCACTCCACACAGAAGGTATGATACCATTATACACTACTAAATGAACACTATGCTTGTAAAATCCTACACTTTAAGTCAACCATGAGGTTTGTTTTCTATACTAGATTGTAATCCTCAGGAGCAAAAATCAGCCTGGCAAGATGGAATACATCTGTAGTCCCAGCTACTCAGGAGGCCAAGGCAGACACTTGAGCCCAGGAGTTTGAGTTCAGCCCAGGCAACGTACTCTGTCTCTTTAAATTTTTTTTTTTTAAAGGGCGGCAAAAATTATGTGACATCCAGTTATATCTTACTTATTTAATAATTCCAACTCCCTGAACAGCCAAGAAACAGGGAAAACCAAAAATGGCCTACAGGTCACCAAAATAGTTAAATCCCATGTATTAATTCCTGTGTATTTTAATAACAGGAAGCCCTTCAGACTGCCTCAGAGGCCTATTGGTTTGTCTTTTGTTTGTTTGTTTTTTGAGATAGAGTCTCAATCTGTCACCCAAGCTGGGGTGCAGTGGCATGATCTCAGCTCACTGCAACCTCTGCCTCCTGGGTTCAAGTGATTCTCCTGCCTCAGCCTCCCGAGTAGCTGGGATTACAGGTGTGCACTACCATACCAGGCTCATTTTTGTATTTTTAGTAGAGACAGGGTTTCACCATGTTGGCCAGTGTAGTCTAGAACTCCTGACCTCAAGTGATCCACCCACCTCAGCCTCCCAAAGTGCTGGAATTACAGGCATGAGCCACCGCACCCGGCCGAGGGCTATTGATTTTATTTTGGTTTCCAAGCTGACAGTAGCTGCTACTTGCTATCAGCAAGGGGAATGAAAGAAAAACCATAAAAAGTAAACATACACACCTGATCTGTACCAAATTGTAAACAAAATCAAGTCTAGCAATCAAAACTTCTGTTCTAATTGGTATATTAGCATGTATTATATGAGAGATAATGTAATTCTAATGTTCAAAAATAGAGACAAAGGCCGGGCGCGATGGCTCACACCTATAATCCCAGCACTTTGGAAGGCCAAGGCGGGCAGATCTACCTGAAGTCAGGAGTTCAAGAACAGCCTGGCCAACATGGTGAAACCCCGCCTCTACTAAAAATACAAAAATTACCTGGGCGTAGTAGTGTGAGCCTGTAATCCCAGCTACTCAGGAGGCTGAGGCATGAGAATCGCTTGAACCCAGGAGGCAGAGGTTGCAGTGAGCCAAGATTGCACCACAGCACTCCAGCCTGGGCAATGGAGTGAGACTTCATTTCAAAAAAAAAAAAAAAAAAAAATAGAGACAAAGCTAAAATGGTGCAGCTCTAAGTCCAACGATCATAATTGTTTAAGTTAAAGGGATTTCTGCACACAGCAATTATTTGTTGAGTCCCCAATATGTAACAAATACACACTACTCAAATAAATTAATCCTCCCAATAACCTTCTGAGGTAGAGGTATTAGTGTCCCTTTTAGAGATGAGGAAAATGTGATCCAAAGAGGTTAGGTGACTTGACCAAGATCCTAAGGCCAATATACGACGTTTTCGATCTCTGAATTATCTCCAAAGTCTGTGCTTTTTCCTATCATGCCACACTGCCCCTCTGCACTCTCATGAATTGCAGGAATTTATTCCAAGTTACAAAGAATCATTCCAGTTCTGCTTAAACATTTCTAGTAATTAAGATAGTTTAATACTATGCAAGGCAGCAAAAAGGTTACAGACATAGACTTTTGAGAACAGTCAGATCCAGATTAAGAACAGCTGCTCAGCCACTTCTTAGCTGCACAACACTGGACAAATCCTTATCTCTAAACAACAGTATCCTTATCTATAAATTGAGACTAAAAAGTACCCACATGACAAGGATGCTGTGAGAATTAAATGTGAGACGCTGTCTGAAAAGTGCTTAGCTCACTGTGTGACGTATTGCAA
Organism: Homo sapiens; assembly: GCF_000001405.40. Classification (NCBI taxonomy): domain Eukaryota; kingdom Metazoa; phylum Chordata; class Mammalia; order Primates; family Hominidae; genus Homo; species Homo sapiens. Next base: position 361,880 of record NW_011332696.1, on the reverse strand, counting down.
TTGCCCAATAAAAATTACCATTCAAATTATTATAGAAAGTTCTTTTTATCAAACCAAACTCTACCTCCCAATAATTTCTGTCCACTGATCTCAGTTCTGATCACTGGGACTTTATAAAATTAGATCAAATCCTGTATCTATTTGGCACCCATGTAATATTAGAAGAGGGTTATATTCTGAGTCGTCTCTTCTGCAAACCAAAACTGTAATCTGCTTCAAATCTCCTTCATAAAAAAAGGTCGGCCAGGTGTGGTGGCTCATGCCTATAATGCAATGCCAGCACTTTAGGAGGCTGAGGTGGGCGGACTGCTTGAGCCCAAGAGTTCAAGACCAGCCTGGACAATATGGCAAAACTCCGTCTCTACAAAAAATACAAAAAAATTAGACCAGCACAGTGGTGCATGCCTGTAGTCCCAGCTACTTGGGAGGCTGGGGCGGGAGGATCCTTGAGCTCAGGAGGCAGAGGTTGCAGTGAGCCGAGATTGTGCTGCTGCACTCCAGCCTGGGTGACAGAGTGAGACCTTATCTCCAAAAAATAATAATAAGACAAGGTTTCTGGACAATGACTTCTATCACTCAACTCAGGATGTACCCTAGTTTAAAAATCTCTTCTTAAACATGACACCCAGAATACTCTCGCAGGTGTACAGTAACCATTGCCAGGTGCCTGGGACTACTGCTTCCACTTTCTGAACTTGAGATCAAAAAAGCCCCCACTGAATTGCTGTTGAGCCAGTTTTCCCACACCCTATCCTTATACAACTGGTTATTTTTCATCTAAATGCAGGACTTTACAGGTACTGCTTTTAAGTGTTTTTGTTTTTTGTTTTTTCAGATAGGGTCTCACTCTGTCACTCAGGCTGGAATGCAGTGGCATGATCTTGGCTCACTGCAACCTCTGCCTCCTGGGTTCAAGTGATTCTCGTGCCTCAACCTCCTGAGTAGCTGGGACTACAGGAGCACACCACCATGCCTGCCTAAATTTTTAGCGTTTTTTTTTTTTTTTTTTTTTAGTGACGGGGTTTCACCATGTCGGCCAGGCTGGTCTTGAACTCCTGAGCTCAAGCGATCTGCCCACCTTGGCCTCCCAAAGTGCTGAGATTACAGGCATGAGCCACTGCACCCAGCTGTATTGCTTTTAAATGTCATTGTGGTTTCAGACCATCTTTTCAGTCTGTTAAGATCATTTTGTGCCAGGCGTGGTGGCTCACGTCTGCAATCCCAGCACTTTCGGAGGCCAAGGCGGGCGCATCATTTGAGGTCAGGAGTTCGAGACCAGCCTGGCCAACATGGTGAAACCCTGTCTCTACTAAAAATACAAAAAAATTAGCCGGGCATGGTGGCGTGCACCTGTAGTCCCAGCGACTTGGGAGACTGAGGCAGGAGAATGGTTTGAACTCAGGTGGTGGAGGTTGAAGTGAGCCGAGATCATGCCACTGCACTCCAGCCTAGGTGACAGAGCTAGACTCTGTCTCAAAAAAAAAGGTCATTTTGACCCTTGATTCTGTCATCCATTGTGTCAGATATTCTGTCCAACACTTTACCACCTACCAATGTGATTGATATGCCTCTACCTCTTTATTTAAGTCCAGTCCACAAATCTTCAATAAGTATCTAGCATGTATAGGGTCCTTTGCTAAGTATGGCAGGAACCAAGCTAAGTGATATGATCTTGAGTAAGGTTGAGGCCAAGGTCAGAACCTTGCAGTATCTTACTTATGCTCCTGTTATGGACTTATCTTGAAATTTTTAGTGTGACAAAACAAGACTGACTGGATGCACAATAGTAGTCTATCAATACTTTAAAAGAGAACAAGCGCTGAAGGCACAGAGTTGGAACCAATGGATGGAAATTTTGAAATCATGGCCCCTCGTTCAATTACCCGCCTCCCCTTTTAACGTGTACTTTTTTCTATTTCTAAGCTTCTGGTACCTCTTCTGTTCTTTACAATTCATTAAAAATGGCAGTTTAGGCCGGGCGTGGTGGCTTATGCCTGTACTCCTAGCACTTTGGGAGGCCAAGGAAGGTGGATCATCTAAGGTCATCCTACTTATTACTGCTTTTGCTTTGACCATAATTTTTTTTTTTTTAAGAGACAGGGTCTTGCTCTGTCACCCAGGCTGCTGTGCAGTGGTGCAGTCATAGCTCACTGCAGCCTGGAACTCTTGGGCTCAAGCAATCCTGATGCCTCAGCCTCCCAAGTAGCTGAGGCTACAGGTGCATCCACCTTATTGAGATAAGGTCAAAAAAAAAAAAGGAGATAAGGTCTTGCTATGTTGACCAGGCTGGTCTCAAATTCCTGGCCTCAGGTGATCCTCCTGCCTCAGCCTCCCAAGTAGCTGTAATTACAAGTACATGCCACCACCCCCGGCTTTCTGACCATAACTTTCTGTATTTCTAGTTATCCTTCCTTCTACATTTAGGACACATGCTTTTAAAATTAAAGCATTTTGCAATGTTCTGTGCTTGGCCACAGTGGTCACTTCAAATATATTACCTCCTTCCTCATCATGATCTATGTAAAGATTGTATCAATTTAGGAAAGGTAAAAAAGATAATGAAGGAGATGGTCTAAGACAAACTTGCCTTCTAGTGGGATGAACTATTAGAATGTAAGCTCTTTGAAAGCAGAGATTGTGTATTTGGCTATACCCTCACCTCCTAGAACAGTGCCTAACACATAGCAGCCCTCAAATATTTGCTGAACAAATGAACAAGCAAAATCTTGAAGGAATGATAGATTAAAGGAATCTAAAAAGGAATCATTAAAGGAATGAAAAGATTTTAGCAGGCCTATGTGGAAAAGATGGCTTTTTATCAGATAGAAGGGCATGGGCAAAGTTTAGAGGTGGGAAAGCAAAGAAAACAGTCCGATTTGGCCTGGAGCTCAATACAAAGCACACAGTGGGAAATGAAGATTTAAAGACTGCTTGAGGCCAGGCGCAGTGCCTCATGGCTGTAATCCCAGCCCTTTGGGAGGCCGAGACAGGAAGATCACTTGAGGTCAAGAGTTCAAGATAAGCCTGGCCAACATGGCAAAACCCTGTCTCTACTAAAAATACAAAAATTAGCTGGGTGTGGCGGCATGTGCCTGTAATCCCTGCTACTCGGGTGACTGTGGCATGAGAATCACTTGAACCCGAAAGGCAGAGCTTGCAGTGAGCCAAGATCATGCCACCGCACTCCAGCCTGGGCGACAGAGCGAGACTCTGTCTCAAAAAATAAATACATAAAACGAAATAAATTTTTTAAGATAAAGGCTGCTTGAGATCTTCACCTCAAGCTGAGGAGCTCATACCTGCATCAGAATTGGTTGTAGGCAGGATGGAGCAACCAATTCTGCAGAGGAATCACATAACTTCAGTTGGGCTTAAAAGATACTGGCAGAGGTATATAAAACTAATTAGAATTGTAAATGTGCATTAAAAATATATTTATTTGGCTGGGAGTGGTGGCTCACACCTGTAATCCCAGCACTTTGGGAGGCCAAGGCGGGTGGATCACCTAAGGTCAAGAGTTCGAGACCAGCCTAGCCAACATGGAGAAACCTGGTCTCTACTAAAAATATAAAAATTAGCCAGGCGTGGTGGTGGGCGCCTGTAATCCCAGCTACTTGGGAGGCTGAGGCAGGAGAATCCCTTGAACCTGGGAGGCAAAGTTTGCAGTAAGCCGAGATCGCACCATTGCCCTCCAGCCTGGGCGACAAGAATGAAAATGCGTCTCAAAAAAAAAAAAAAAAAAAGTACTTACTTGTAAGGACCTAGGGGAAAAACTCTGGCCAGAGATAGTTAATATCTGGTACTTTCTATATGAACCCATAGTATTTGCCTCAACAACCTGTGTCCTGTCCCTATGCTGGAATGAGTGAGACTCAAGGAATGTCACCAAAGTAAAAGTAGGGATAAAAATGAGGCCAAAATAAATAGGCCTCGGAACTGTAGCCTCTTGCGAGAACTTACTGCAAGTCAGAGGACTGGCTTCAACCATTGCTAAAAGAATGGCTTAGGGAGTTATGCTCATATCTGGAACATTTTTTAAATTTCCATCTCATGTGTGGGGTTGCCTTGATGTTCTGTTTCAATCTCTTCCAGTATATTGCCAGGAAAGGAGAAGAACAGCAGAAAGATAGTCTATCTGGCCCCAAAAATGTCAGCCATCCTCTGGTCCTCAGACCAGACTCACAGATGGCTGTTACCTTTTCTTATATGTCCCCCCCACCCCACTTAAGAGTCTGGTTTCCTTTCATTAATTATTCATGCCTTGTCCTATTTTCCCTTTTTGTATAATTATGGAACACTAACACAATTGTTTCATTAATAATATACTTATCTACTACTGCTGGAAGACCACATCCAAAAAAAAGCAGTGGATATTATAATGAGATTTATCTTCCTTATTTACAGATACATTTCTTTTGCTTTTGAATATTAACTATCCTCGGCCAGCAGTTCCTTTTTGTTGATTTCGTCCCATCTAAATTAGGAGCAGCCATGACATTGCTATCCTATTTGAGGTTTGGGGCAGGTCTTAGAATCATTACTCTCTCATCAATGGTGTGATTTTTATGTCTCTGGTCACTGCTACCATATGTTTGGGAAGTGTGGTCTTAGGATGTGGTTTAAAGTCTCAGGAAAAACACTTCAATGTTTTAAATAAGTATAGACTAGTAATAAATACAGTTTGTGGTGATAAAATACCACAATAAAAACTGCATTAATGATATACATAATAAGCATGGTACTGATAATCAGATACCAAAAAGAGTCTCAATTAATATAATAATCACAAATGTTAGTTCTCACTAATCGCATATGAGATAGCAATTTACTTCCCACAAAAATACCAACTAGAAACTGGAAAATAAAAAAGTATTCTTAACAGAAAGAGTTCTGTGTCTGTTGACTGTGATGAGCTTTTCCCTGGATCTCTGACCTAGGTTCTGTCGTGTTAAACATTCTTTAATGACTTGAGTGAGGCCCCTCATGGTGTGTTAATCGTGGGGATTCAAAAAAGGCTTCAACAAGCTAGAAACTGAGGCTACATGTGACACTGAACTGTGGATGAATGTGAGTCTTTCACTGAAGGTCCAAAAACTATCTGCAGAAATACAGGATGGGGGAGGTGTGGCTTAATGTCAGCACATGTGAAAAACACTTTAGAGTTTTAGATGATTCGATATGACTCAAGTGCACGTGGCTGCCAAAAAAGCTACTTAAACTTGGGCTGTATTAAAAGGAATATATCATGCAGAAAAGACACTGGATCCAATCCACACCTGGAACACTATGCCAATTCTGGGGGTCATGCTCTAACAAAAGAGACAAAATGGAGTATATTTAGGTTTCGGATCAGAGGGCTGAGTGACATAAAATCATGAGCACGTGTTACTTTCATGATCAGAATAAAAGATACTTCCATTTTGGAGAAAACAAATCCTTAAGTAATGCCCAGTGTTGAAGAGGATATTATGAAATGGAAATGCTCAGATAGTATTGTTTTTACTATGAATTAGTTTATTAAATCCTTTGGGAAGCAATTCTGTCATATATTGTAACTGCCACAAAACTTATGTTGGCTTTACTTATAATCACCAAATACTGGAAACAACCCCGATTCCTTCAGCTGGCAAATGGATAGACAGTCTATGGTATATCCATAAGAAGGAAACAATAAAAGGAACAAACTATTGATACAACCACATAATGAATCTTGCTAGGCATGAGAGCTCAAACCTGCAATCCCAACTACTCAGGGGGCTGAGGCAAGAGGATGACTTGAGGCCAGGTGTTTGAGACCAGTCTTAACAACACAATAAGACCACATTTCTAAAAAAAGTATTTTTTTTAATTAGCTGGGCATGGTGGTACATGCCTGTAGTCTTAGCTATTCAGGAGGCTGAGGCTAGAGGATCACTTGAGCCCAGGAGTTCAAGGTTACAGTGAGCTATGATTGTGCCACTGCACTCTAGAAAAAAAATACATATATTCATACATAAAAATAATAACCCAACAGTGCAGATAAATATTGGAACATAAAAAGACTCAATCCTAAAGCAGACAGAAAAAGGTATGGGTGGGCAGGGAGGAAGGAATAAAGAACAGGAGCAAAGGCCGGGCACGGTGGCTGGCACCTGTAATCCCAGCACTTTGGGAGGCCGAGGCAGGTGGATCACTTGAGGTCAGGAGTTCGAGACCAGCCTGGCCAACATAGTGGAGCCCTGTCTCTATGAAAAATACAAAAAACTAGCACGTGCCTGTAGTCCAGCTACTCAGGAGGCTGAGGTAGGAGTAGGAGAATTGCTTGAACCCAGGAGGTAGAGGTTGCAGTGAGCCAAGATCATAACACTGCACTAGAGCCTGGGAGAAAAAGCAAGACTTTGTCTCAAAAAAAGAGAACGAACTAGAACAAATAAAAAAAAAAAAAATAGCAACAGTGGACTTTAACCCCACCACACTGAAATTACACTAAATCTAAGAGTGTTAAAGATATCATTAAAAAGACAGATTTTCAACATATATAAAACAGCAAGACAACTATATGCTGGCTACTTTAAAAGCTAGATTAAAAGCAAATGGGGGGCCAGGCACAGTGGCTCACACCTGTAATCCCAGCACTTTGGGAGGCCGAGGCAGGTGGATCACTTGAGGCAAGGAGTCCATGACCAGCCTAGCCAACGTGGCGAAATGCTGTCTCTACTAAAAATACAAAAATTAGCCAGGCATGGTGGCACACACCTGTAATTGCAGCTACTCAAGAGACTGAGGTACGAGAATCGCTTGAACTCAGGAGGCAGAGGTTGCAGTGAGCCAAGACTGCGCCACTGCACTCCAACCTGGGCGACAGAGTGAGACTCCATCTCCAAAAAAAAAAAAACCACATGGACAGACAAGTGGGACTTCTTGATAAATCCAAATGAGGAGATCAACATATCCTCTCTGCAAAAGGTAACTATAAAGCTGAACATAATTCATACCATTCAAACATAATTCAAACCATTTTGAGGTTTGGAAAATCAACCAATGGCATATAAAAATTTGAGAAGCATTTATGCCTTAAAAATGAATGAACTTGGCCAAGTGTGGCGGCTCACGCCTGTAATCCCAACACTTGGGGAGGCCGAGGCAGGCGGATCACGAGGTCAGGAGTTTGAGAACAGCCTAGCCAATATGGTGAAACCCCGTCTCTACTAAAAATACAAAAATTAGCCAGGCATGGTGGTGTGCTCCTGCAGTCCCAGCTACTTCAGAGGCTGAGGCAGAAGAATCGCTTAAACCTGGGAGTTGGAGGTTGCAGTGAGCCGAGATTGTGCCACCGCACTCTAGCCTGAGTGACAGAGTGTGACTCCATCTCAAAAAAAAAAAAAGAACTTGGGTAAAAATAGTGAGAATCTGTGTCATTGAGATGTGAGGCTTCTCCCAACCTTCCTGCCTCAGTTGAAGCAGATGTTGTACCAGAATGGGACAGGTAATGAGAACAGGAAGCTTTCCTGCTTTAGCAGGAAGCGGCTGCTGACTTATTTGGAACAATAGGTAGCATCCACATCCAGCGGTGTCATCAGTAGAATTGACTATCTCAGAGATGGGCAAGTGGAAAGTGCCAAAAGCTATACTAACACGAGGTTGTGGTCGTGGTCAGGGCAAGCTTACTCCTAGCTAAGGCTGTATGCATTTGCAGCAGAGACCTGAAAGGGTGCAACCAGTCACGTGCTCCTAGCTGACACTGAGGGTGTGTGTATTCCAAGGGGAGAGGTGAAAGGGTTCAGCAGTGAACAAAAGATAAGATTTGAAAATGGCCTGAACTTTGAATGTGCTACCCTGCCACGCAGAGCCATTTACAGATGACAGAAGCCTTCCTGATCAAGGTGGTTAAGTACAACCTCTGATCAATAACTGACTATTAACCCATGCAGACATATGGACAACCCCTAGGAAAGCAGATGTAAAGATATAAGCAAGTTTAAAAAGCAAGCAGACACATGGAGAGGACCTGAGACTACACAAATAAAGAGAGCTGCCCAGACGGCCCCCAGCTGCTCCAGCCCCTGTTATTTCAGCTCCAGCCACCAACTGACTGCAGCTGCATAACAAAGTCAGAACTGCCCAGCTGAGCCCTTCCAGAATCCCTGACCCACAGAAATCTGAGAGATAATAAAGTGATTGTCGTCTTTTAAAAAGGAGGGTGTGGGGTGGAAAAGTAGAGACATTAATGGCCACAAACCACAGGAAAAAGATTTCACAGGTTTGACAAACATGTTACTAAACAAAGAGCAATGAACAGACAAAAAAGTAACAACAGCAATTTGGGAGGATCAGAATCCACAGCTGCTATATTATCTAAAATGCCCAGTTCTTAACAAAAAAATTATAAGACCTACAAAGAAACAGGAGTGTGACTCGTACTCAAGAAAAAAATGCAGTCAATAGAAATTGCCTCTGAGTATTGAAGATACTAGATACAGCAGACAAAAATTTCAAAGCAATTATAAGCTCACAGAACTACAGAAAATCATAATAAAAGAAAGAAAAATATAACAATGAATCTACAAATTCAGATTCCCTATAAGGAGACAGAAATTATATATATATTTTAAAAAGCAGGCCAGGCACGGTGGCTCACACCTGTAATCCCAGCACTTTGGGAGGCCAAGGTCAGCACATTGCTTGAGCCCAGGAGTTTGAGACCAGCCGGGCAACATAATGAGACTTTGTCTCTACAAAACAAACAAACAAATACATACATACATAAAATTTTTAAAAATAAGAAACCAAACAGAAATCTTGGAGTTGAAAAGTATAATAATGGAAATGAAAAATTCACTGGGGCAACTCAATAGCAATTTGGGGATGGCAGGAAAAAGAATCAGTGAACCTGAAAATAGAAATTATCTAAAGAACAAAGAGAAAAGATTAAAGAAAATAAAACAGTGCCTTAGAGATCTGTGCAACAACAACAAACATGCCAACACATGCATAATGGAAATCCCAGAAGGAAAGAAGAGACAAACTTACCAAATCTGATGAAAAATATTAATCCACACATTCAAGAAGCTCAAAGGCCCCAAGTAGGATAAATACAAAGAGATCAAAACTTGGACTTATCACAAACTATGGAAAGCTAAAGGAAAAAAAAATCCTGAAATGAGCAAGAGAAAAGCAACTCGTCTGAAACAATGGAGGCTAGAAGAGAGTAGAATGGCATATATAAAGTGCTGGGGGAAAAAAATTGTCAACCAAAAATTCCATTTCAATCAAATTTATCCCTCAAAAAAAAAAAAGACAAAGACATTCCTAGATAAACAAAAACTGAGAAAATCTGCTAGTGAATTTGTAACATTAAATACTAACAAAAGTCTTTTCAGGGTAAAAGGAAGTGACAACGGTTGGGGACCTGAAGTCCAAGAAGAACTGAGGAACACCAAAAATTGTAAATATGTGAGTTAACACAGAAGATTCTACAAATATATTTTTATTCACACCTTCTCTTAACTTCTTTAAAAGACAAACATCCTTAAGGAAGTAACTATGACACTGTGTTTTGGGTTTACAAATATATACAGATATTATACATGAGAATAATAGCACAAAAAAGGGTGAAAGAATGAGGCTATAATGGAGCAAAGCATATATATTTTACCAGAATTAAGTTAGTATTAATCTGAAGTAGACTCTGATAATTAACATGTACACTGTAATCCCTACAGCAACTGCTAAGAAAACAACTCCAAAAAATACATAGTTAAAAAAAATCAATGGAACAGTTAAAACAGTAAACTAAAAATATGTATTTAATATAAAAGGAGGCAGTCAAGGAGGAACAGAGAAACAAAATAGACAAGAATGTATAGAAAAGAAATAATAAAAAGGCAAATCTAACCAGATCAATAACTATATTAAAAGTGAATGGTTTTTATACCTCAATCAAAAGGTAGAGAATGTCAGACTGGATGAAACATCAAGATCCAACTATATGCTATTTACAAAAGACACACCTTAGATTCAAAGACACAAAAGAGTTGAAAGCAAACAGATAAAAAAAGATACATACCCACTGGGCACGGTGGCTCACACCTGTAATCCCAACACTCTGGGAGGCCGAGGCAGGTGGATCATCTGAGGTCAGGAGTTCGAAACCAGCCCGGCCAACATGGCAAAACCCTATCTCTACTAAAAATACAAAAATTAGACAGGCATGCTGGCACGCGCCTGTAATCCCAGCTACTTGGGAGGCTGAGGCAGGAAAATCACTTGAACCCAGGAGGCAGAGGTTGCAGGAAACTGAGATCGCGCCACTGCACTTCAGCAGCCTGTCGAGCAAGACTTTGTCTCAAAAAAAAAAAAAAAAAAGATATATACCATCATAGAACCATAAGAAAGACAGAATAGTGATATCATTTGGATACTTGTCCCCTCCAAATCTCATGTTAAAATGTGGCCCCTAATGTTGGAGGTGGGGTCTAGTGGGAGATGTATGAGTCATAAGAGCAGATCCCTCAAGAATGGCTTGGTGCCTCCCTGTAGTACCGAGCAAGTCTCCCTCTATTAGTTTATGGGAGAACTGGTTGTTTAAAGGAGTGTGGCACCTCCCCCACCTCTGTCTCCCTCTCTTACCATGTGACATGCCTGCTCCTCCTTCACCTTCCTCCATGATTGAAAGTTTTCTGAGGTCCTTACCAGAAGCAGATGCTGGTGCCACACTTCTTATACAGCTTGCAGAACTGTGAGCCAAATAAACCTCTCTTCTTTATAAATTACCCAGCCTCGGGTATTCCTTTATAGCAACTCAAAGTGGACTAACACAAATGGCTCTATTAATATTAGATAAAATAGAAATAAAGACAGAGAGTAATATTAGAGAACGGTGTTTCATAATGATGAAAGTTGTTACATCATGAAGATATAATAATTCTAAATGTATCCACACCAGCAACATATCCTCAAAACAAATGAAGGAAAAACTGACAGAATCAAAAGGAAAAATACACAATTCAACAAAACAGGTTAATAATTCAGTACCTCACTCTCAATTGATAAAACTAAAGACAAAATCAGTAAGAATATACAAAACTCAAAAAACACTATCAACCAACATAACTGACATATATAAAACTCTCTACCCAATGACTGCAGACTATATAGTCTTTAAAAGCACATATGGTTTATACCTTTCACAAAAATTAAGTCAAAATGGATCGCAGACCTAAATGTAAAATGCAAAACTATGAAAGTCCTAAGCAGTAATACAAGAGAAAATCTAGGTAAGCATGGATTTGGTGATGACTTTTTAGATACAACACCAAAGTACAATCCACGAAATTAAAAATGGGACAGATCAATGGAACAGACCTAAGAGTCCAGAAATAAACCCTTACATTTATGGTCATTTTTTAAAGGTGCTGAGATAATTCAATAAGGGAAAACACAATCTTTTCAACATATGGTACAGGGTCAACTGGATACCACAAGCAAACAAACAAAGCAAAATGAACTTAGACCTTTACACAACACACACAAAGTAATCCAAAAAGGATCACAGGCCTAAATGCAATCACTAAAACTATAAAACTTCTAGGAGAAATCTTTATTAAAAATATTGATACACTGAACTTCATCAAGATTAAAAAAGTTGTACTTCAAAAAATATCAGCCAGGTCAGAAGTTCCAGACCAGCCTGGCCAACATGGTGAAAGCCTGTCTCTACTAAAAACACAAAAATGAGCCAGGCACCCGTAATCCCAGCTACCTGGGAGGCTAAGGCAGGAGAACTGCTTGAACCCAGGAGGTGGAGTTTGCAGTGAGCTGAGATCGCGCCAGTGCACTCCAGCCTGGGCGACAGAGTGAGACTCGGTCTCAAAAAAAAAAAAAAAAAATCCCCCAAAAAATGAAAAGAAAGTCACAGTCTGGGAGAAAATACTGCAAATCATATATCTGATTAAGAGATTGTATCCAGAATAAAGAACTTGTTATAATACAATATAAGTTAAAAACCCAATTTAAAAATGGATAAGAGATTTGAACAGGTATTTCAAGCACACAAAAATAATCTCAACATCATTAGAGAAATGTAAATGTAAACCATAATGAGATACCACTACACAACCACTCTGATGGCTATAATCAGAAATAAAGAGAATACTGAATTCTCATACATTGCTGGAAGGAATGTAAAATGGTAATTTTGAAAAAAGTTTGGCAGTTTCGTAAAAGTAAACACAAAGTTACCATACAACCTACCAATTCCGTTCCTAAGAATCCACCCAAAAGAAATAAAAACACATTCACATGAACACATGGTCACAAAGGTTCATAGCAGCATTATTCATAACAGGCAAAAACTGGAAGTCAGACTCAAAAGAGTATGTATTGTATGATTCCATTTAGATGAAGTGTCCAGAAAAGCTGGCCTGTGGTTGCCTAGGACTGGAGACTGGGAGCAGAATTAACTGCAAACTGGAAATAATTTTGATATGGTCCTCATTCATCTCTTTTTATCTCTGATTAGATCAAGCCATCTTCCATATATAGGCACACCTCATTCTATTCCACTTCAAATTTTTTTTAAATTGTGCTTCACAGATACTGTGTTTTTTTTTACAAATTGAAGATTTGTGGCAGGGTGCTTACTTCATGTCTGTCACATTTTGGTAATTCTTGCAATATTTCAAACTTCCATTATTATGATATCTGTCATGGTGATCTGTGATCAGTGATCTTTGATGTCACTATTGTAATTGTTTTGGGCACCACAAACCACACCCATAGAAAACAGGAAACTTAAACTGAGAAGTGTTGCATGTGCTCTGACTGCTTCACGGACCAATCATTCCCCCGGCTATCACCCTCTCCTTGGACCTACTCCCTGAAATACAATAATATTGAAATCAGGCCAATGAATTCCCCTACAATGGTCTTTATGTGTTCAAGTGAAAGGAAGAATTGCACATCTCTCACTTTAAATCAAAAGCTAGAGTGAGGAAGGTATGTTCAAAGCTAAGACAGGGTAGAAGTCAGGCCTCTTGCACCAGTTTGCCAAGCTGTGAATGCAAAGGACAAGTTCTTAAAGGGAATTAAAAGTGCTACTCCAGTGAACACACAAAGGCAAAAACAGCCCTAGTGCTGACATAAAAAGTTTTAATGGTCTGGATAGACAATCAAACTAGCTCCAACATTCCACTGAGACAAAGCCTAATCAAGGAAGCACCTCAGAGGTTCTACTTCTGGGTCTTCAAGGGAACCCACTCTTGCCTTAAGCTATTCTAGTGGATTGCTTAATGGGCTTTAGTGGATCTTAAAAGCTCTGTCGGGTAGGAGATTCTAAATTCTTTCTGTTGACATCCGACCTCTCAGTAGATAACTTAGTTCAAATACAAAATTGAAATCTTTTCTAAAACAAAATTGTATTTTTAAACTTACTATTTTTGAATAAGAAGTTTAAAAAAAGCAAAAGAAGTTAAAGAAAAGTTGCAGGCTTAGGTGTGGTGGCCCATGCCTGTAAACCCAGCACTATGGGAGGCTGAGGCAGGCGGATCACCTGAGGCCAGGAGTTCAAGACCAGCCCGGCTAACATGGTGAAACCATACTAAAGATACAAAAATTAGCCAAGCATGGTGGCACGTGCCTGTAGTCCCAGCTACTCAGGAGGCTGAGGCAAGAGAATCACTTGAACCCGGGAGGCAGAGGTTGCAGTGAGTCAAGATCGCTCCATTGCACTCCAAGCCTGGGCAACAAAGCAAGATTTTTGCCTCCAAAAAGAAAAAAAAAAAAGAGAAAAGAAAGAAGAAAGAAGAAAGAAAGAAATAGAAAAGTTGCATAAAGTATAGGATTCCAGATGGGTGCAATGGCTCATGCCTATTATCCCAAGCACTTTGTGAGGCAAAGGTGGGAGGATCCCTTGAGCCCAGAAATTCAAGACCAGCCTGGGCAACATACGGAACCCTATTTCTACAAAAAAAATTAAAAATATTAGCTGGGAGTGGTGGCACACACCTGTGGTCTCAGCTACTCAGGAGGCTGAGGCAGGAAGATTACTTGAGCCTGGGAGGTCGAGGCTGCAGTGAGTCATGATCTCACCACTACACCCTCAGCAGCTTCCCCTTAATATTAACATAGTATGTAACTGCAATACAATGATCAAAACCAGGAAATTAACACTGCTACAATATAATCAACTAAACTACACAACTATTCAAATGTGCCCTTTTTTCCCACTAACATCCTTTCTCATTCTAGGACCCAATCCAGGACCCACACTGCATGTCTCCTTAGTCTCCTTAAATCTGTGATAATTCTTCAATTGTTCCTTGTCTTTCAAGACTTTGACTCTTATAAAGAAAACCGGTTAGTTATTTTGTAGCATGTCTCTAATATTTTTTCCTCATTTAATAATATTACTATCAACAAGAATCATGTACTGAGGGTTTATTAAGTGAGAGGTACTATATACTAAGCCCTATGCCTATGTTCTCTCTTTTAAATAAAAGTGTTTGTAGTAGACTTTATGTATTTTTTTGGAGACGGAGTCTCACTCTGTCACCCAGGCTGCAGTTCAGTGGCACGATCTTGGCTCACTGCAACCTCTGCCTCCCAGGTTCAAGCGATTGTCCTGCCTCAGCCTCCTGAGTAGCTGGGATTACAGGCGCACGCCACCATGCCTAGCTACTTTTTGTATTTTTAGTAGAGACGGGGTTTCACCCTGCTGGCCAGGCTGGTCTCAAATTCCTGACCTGAGGTGATCTGCCCGCCTAGGCCTCCCAAAATGCTGGAATTACAGGTGTGAGCCACCGTGCCCGGCCTATAATAGACTTTAAAACAGAAGTATTTTAAAATCAAAGAGCAATCATCTTTAATTCATTCTTCTTCAAGTGCTATTGTTTTGTAAATTACAAACTATCATGCAACATATTATTTTCCCACACCAATATCCTTCAATGTCCCCTCCAATATCCCTAAAAAATATTAAACCTAAATGTATGCTTTAAATTCAGGGCCCTTGAGTTTTTATCTTTCTAAATCTTTACTGCCTGCATTTTCCTATCCTTAAACCTTGGCTCATTGCTTTCTTCACTTGTAACTGTCCTACTTTTGCATCTCTAAATATGCTTTCTCTTAAGGACACCTTTGATCACTACCGCTAGCTCTCAAGAGCTACTGATCCCCTGAAATACTACAGAAGCTAGTGAATGCACTACTCATTTGGTTTACATACAATACCCTGTGCTGTGGGCATGTATTATCTCCCAAATGAGACTTCTTGAGAGCAGAGGACCTGTGAGCTATCTTTTCCCCCATGACATCTAGTATACTACCCTAATGCTTAATTGCATTTACTGAGTACCTACCAAGTGCCAAGCTTTGTGCTGGGCCCTAAGAAATCCACGATGTCTAAGACAAAATCCCAACTCTTGGCTGGGCATGGTAGCTCATGCCTGTAATCTCAGGACTTTGGGAGGCTGAGGCAGACAGACCACCTGAGGTCAGGAGTTTGAGACCAGCCTGGCCAACATGGTGAAAACCATCTCTACTAAAAATACACAAAATTAGCCAGGCATGGTGGTGCGCGCCTGTAGTCCCAACTACTCGGGAGGCCGAGGCAGAAGAATTGCTTGAGCCTGGCGGGGCGGGGCTTGCAGTGAGCCAAGATCACACCACTGCACTCCAGCCTGGGCAACAGAGCAAGACTCCGTCTCGAGAAAAAAAAAAAAAAAAGGACAAAATCTCAACTCTTGAGAAACCTGAGGTGTGACGATAAATGCTTCTCTGAGTACAGAGATAGACTGAAAATCGTTTTCTCTCCAAAAAATTAAGGTCACTAAAAAGTTTCCTCCGGTAGTAAGATTTGTCCTTTTCTGTCCTGATAAACACTAAAATAAGTAATTCTAGATTACTAACGTGTCACAGAACATGTATATTTCCCAATCAGCTTGTGCTTGAAGCAAGCTGTGACTTAGTTTTATGAGAAATGCAGGTGCTACAGAGGAAGCCTTATTAACCAAAGGCCTTTGAAAAGACTGCACCAGGTTGCAGCAGTTTCAACAAGCTTACCAATTGTTTTAGTCTAGTGACATCTAGTGGTAAAAGTGTTGTTAAACACAGGACTGCTATAAATTTAATTACTACACTAAAGGAAGGCCATCTTATTTTAAAAATGGCAAAATATGAGAAAGACCTATGGCATTTATTATTAATTTGCCTTTGGCCTATGTAACTGTTAACTCTCTGTTGGATTTATTTTTTCCTTCTCCTATGGCTGAGAAAAATTAATTTTGACATAACATAAGATTTACTGAAATAAAAAGATACTGATTCTTTAAGTTAGAGAAAAGCCCTCAATTAAAAAAGATTGAAGAGCAGGCCAGGTGCAGTGGCTCACGCCTGTAATCCCAGCACTTTGGGAGGCCGAGGCAGGTGGATCACGAGGTCAGGAGATAGAGACTATCCTGGCTAACACTGTGAAACCCCCTCTCTACTAAAAATACAAAAAATTAGCCGGGCGTGGTGGCGGGCGCCTGTAGTCCCAGCTACTCAGGAGGCTGAGGCAGGAGAATGGCGTGAACCCAGGAGGCAGAGCTTGCAGTGAGCTGAGATGGTGCCACTGCACTCCAGCCTGGGCAACAGAGTGAGACTCTGTCTCAAAAAAAAAAAAAAAAGACTGAAGAGCAAAGCAATCCCAATTGTCACCTGTTCCGAAAATCCTGCAAATCAAAACAGACTTTTTGTTCATAAATATTTACTTACTGACACTTTCATATACTGCTAAAAATGTTTAGAGACAGGATTACAGACCAGGCATGGTGGCTCACACCTGTAATCCCAACACTTTGGGAGGCCGAGGTGGGCGGATCATGAGGTCAGGAGTTTGAGACCAGCCTGGCCAACATGGCGAAACCCCATCTCCACTAAAAATACAGAAATTAGCTGTGCGCGGTGGTGGACGCCTAGAATCCCAGCTACTCGGGAGGCTGAGGCAGGAGAATCACTTGAACCCAGGAGGCAGAGGTTGCAGCGAGCTGAGATTGCACCATTGCACTCCAGCCTGGGCTGGACTCCATCTCAAAAACAACAACAACAACAAACAAAAAAAACCATGATTACTAACTTTTGCTGATGATTTTCACCAGTTGGTAGAAGCAAATGATTATCTATCCAAGTGCATTCTTTAAAATGTCACTTTGCATTTCACTGGCTTTCTGTGAAACTGAATTTTGATGGAAAAAATATTTAAACGTTATTAAATACCTATGACTGTGTTGTTGCTGTTGTTTCAGAGACAGGGTCTCACTCTGTTGCCCATGCTGGAGTGCCGTGGTATGACTGGAGCTCACTGAGCCTCAAACTCCTGGAATCAAGAGAGCTTCCCATCTCAGCCTCCTAAGTAGCTGGGATTACCAGCACATGCCACCATGACCAGCTAATTTTCAAATTTTTTGTAGAAATGAGGTCTATGTTGCCCAGGCTGGTCTCAAACTCCTGGCCTCAAGCAATCCTCCTGCCTCAGCTTTCCAAAGTGCTATGATCACAGGCATCAGCCACTGCACCAGGCCAACTATGACAGTTTTAAGATTCCTCTACAGGCCGGACACAGTGGCTCACGCCTATAATCCCAGCACTTTGGGAGGCCGAGGCGGATGGATCACCTGAGGTCAGGAATTTGAGACCAGCCTGGCCAACATGGTAAAACATTGTCTCTATAAAAAAATACAAAAATTAGCCGGGCATGGTGGCAGGCACCTGTAATATCAGCTACTCAGGAGGCTGAGTCAGGAGAACTGCTTCAACCCAGGAGGCAGAGGTTGCAGTGAGCCAAGATGGCGCCATTGCACTCCAGCCTGGGCAACAGAGACTCCAGCTCAAAAGAAAAAGAAAAAGAAAAGAAAAGAAAAGCAGTATATTCCAAATACAAACTTGGTTAATAATTTTTTTTTTTTTTTTTGAGACAGTCTCACTCTGTCACCCAGGCTGGATGCAGTGACGCAATCTCAGCTCACTGCAACCTCTGCCTCCTGCATTCAAACGATTGTCCCACCTCAGCCTCCCCAGTAGCTGATTACAGCTGTGCGCCACCACGCCCGGTTAATTTTTTTGTCTTTAGTGGAGATGGGGTTTCACCATGTTGGCCAGGGTGGTCTCAAACTCCTGACCTCAAGTGATCCACCCACCTCAGCCTCCCAAAGTGCTGGCATTACAGGCATGAACTACAGTGCCCGACCTGGTTAAGAATTCTTTTTGGCATCTTTTATTTTATTTTATTTTATTTGAGACAGGGTCTCATTCTGCCACCCAGGCTGGAGTACAGCGCTATGAACACCGCTCGACCTCCCAGGGTCAAGTGATCCTCCCACTTCAGCCTCCCAAGTAGCTGGGAGTACAGGTGCACACCACCACACCTAGATAAACTTTTTTTTTTTTTTCTGTAGTACAGACAGGGTCTCACCATGTTGTTCAGGCTGGTCTCAAACTTCTGGGCTCAAGTAATCCTCCCACCTCGGCCTCCCAAAGTGCTGGAATTAGAAGCATGAGCCACTGTGACTGGCCAGCATCTTTTAAATATGTTTTAAAATATATATAGAAGACTTTTAAACTAAGAATACCCTTGGCCGGGTGCGGTGGCTCACACCTGCAATCCCAGCACTTTGGGAGGCTGAGGCGGGCGGATCACGAGGTCAGGAGATCGAGACCATCCTGGCTAACACAGTGAAACCCCATCTCTACTAAAAATACAAAAAAAAAATTAGCCAGACGTGGTGGCGGGCACCTGTAGTCCCAGCTACTCGGGAGGCTAAGGCAGGAGAATGGCGTGAACCCGGGAGGCAGAGCTTGCAGTGAGCCGAGATTGCACCACTGCACTCAAGCCTGGGCGACAGAGCGAGACTCCGTCTCAAAAAAAAAAAAAAAAAAAAAAAAAGAATACTCTCTGCAACCCTGCCTTCTCTATGTAGCTACCTGCTATTCATCCCTCAAAGCTCAGCTGAATTCTACTTCCTCTAGGAAGCCTGCCCCAAATTCCCAGGCCAAATTAATAATTATCTCCTCCATGTTTATCTACTCTTTGGGACATGTGGCCAGTGTTACTAATATGATATTATTGTGAATACTTACCTGTCTAAATCGCTCACAAAACAATAAGGTCCTAAAGGGCAGCAACTATGTCTTCTATTTTTTGTACCTGCACTGTCTGACCACATCAGGCACTTAGCAGGTGCTTATCAATATGTTGCAGAAATGAATGACCAATTAAAGGCTGTTGGCAGGAGGGTCTTATAAGTAAAATGGAAAAACTGGTATCGGACAGAAAAATATGGATTAAAAAGCATTTTTTTAAGGATTTCTGCCTCTGCACATGAAGGATTAACTGCTATTATGCAATAATAAACAACTAGAAAACCAGACAAAAATATATGAAACACTCATTTCCGATACTGTATAACAGGCAGCACAGGACTTTGATCCCTGAAAGAAGGAAAACAAGCCCTACCATTTTCCCAGCTTATTACCTAAAGGCAGTTTCCAAGAGGCAGACCAGGGAGGTGTCTTGGTCGGTACAGGCTGCTACAACAAGAATACCATAAACTGGATGGCTTAAACAACATACATTTATTTCTCACAGTTCTGGAGGCTGGGAAGTACAAGATTTAGGTGCTAGCACATTGGATATTTGGTGAGGGCACTCTTCCTGGTTTGCAAATGGCTGTCTTCTCCTTGTGTCCTCACATGGCTAAGAACAGAAGGAAGAAGGAACCTCTCTCCCCTCTCTTCTTGTAAGGGCGTGACTCCCATGACATGAGGGCTCCACCCTCATGATCAAATCACTTCCCAAGGCCCCATCTCCTAATACAGCATATTGGGGATTACAATTTCAACCTGTGAATTGGGGGGAGACATAATCATTCAGTCCATAGCAGAATGGACATCAAAAAAAGCCCAGCAGCCTCACTGAGTTAGAGAGAGAGCAAAGTTTGCAGAAACTAAAGTGGGTAGGATTTACACAACAGAATATGGGAGAGAAGGGGGCAGCCTTGAGATCTGCACAGGGTACCCTTAAATCTCTGAAAACATCATCTGTAAATTTGTAAGGTGAAATTCCAGAGACTGGAGAAAACTAGAGAGAAGCAGTAGGCCAAATATTTTCTGAAGAGCTCATGTTCCCATTAGCCACAGTGGAGAGACTTCATAATACATAAGGCAACAGGTAGAGTACTCAGAAGGATTTTACCTTAGTAGTGAGATGAAATTAAACTAGGCAAAGACTGCACTAGATGAGCCCCAACGGTATTTAAAAGAAAACATGGGAAGGGTCCAAATGACTACAAGTAACTTAACCATATGTATATGCCAGAATAAAGTCTGGTATCCTTAAAGGAATAAAATGAAATCCAGGCCAGGTGTGGTGGTGCATGCCTGTAATCCCAACAATTTGGTGGACTGAAGCAGGCGGTTTGCTTGAGCCCAGGGGGGTTGAGGCTGCAGTGAGCCACGGTGGTGCCACTGCACTCTAGCCTGGGCAACAGAGCGAGATCCTGTCTCTAAAAGGAAAAAAAAAATTAGTAAGTAAATTTTAAAAGAAATGCACTCTACTCCCAGCACTTTAGGAAGCCGAGGCAGGTGGATCACCTGAGGTCAGGAGTTCAAGACCAGCCTGGCCAACATGGCGAAACCCCGTCTCTACTAAAAGTACAGAAATTAGCTGGGCATGGTGGCGGGTGGCTGAAATCCCAGCTACTCAGGAGACTAAGGCATGAGAATTGCTTGAACCCTAGAGGCAGAGGTTGCAGTGAGCTGACATCGTGCCATTGCACTCCAGCCTGGGCGACAAGGGCGAAACTCCCTCTTAAAAATAAAATTAAAATAAAATTGAAGTACTCATACGTTCAAAAAGTAGAGGAAAACATAAGCATGATAAGCAGAGAGATCAAAGACATTTAAGGGGGAGAATCTAAAGCTGAAAAATACCAGCATCTGAAATTAAGAACACCTTGGATGAGATTAAAAGCAGTACAGACATGACAGAAAAAAAGACCACTGAACATGGAAACACAGCAGTAAAAATTATCCAAAGTAAGGACAGAAAGGAAAAGACTAAAAATAAAAATTGAAAGGTGTGTCAGTGATGTGTAAGAAAATATCAAGCGGTCTAACATCGAATTGGCGTCCCACAAAAAGCAGGTGGGGGGAGCAGAAAAATATTGGAAGACATAATGACCAAAGTTTTCGATTAAAAGTACAAACCTGCAGATCAAAGAACATAGAGAACATATTAGTGTGAACTTGTCATTTTCAATATATAGAAAATATAGGCCAGGCATGGTGGCTCATGCCTGCAATCCCAGCACTTTGGGAGGCTGAGGCAGGTGGATCGCTTGTGCCCAGGAGTTTGAGACTAGCCTAGGCAACATTGGGAAACCCCATCTCTACAAAAAATACAAAAAGATTAGTTGGGCGTGGTGGCACGCAGAGTAGTCCCAGCTGCTCAGGAGGCTGAGGTAGGAGGATTCCTTGAGCCCAGGAGGTCAAAGCTGCAGTGAGCCGTGATTGTGCCACTGCACTCCAGCCAGGGTGAAAGGGCAAGATCGTGTTGCCAAATACACGAACATATAAAAAATAAACATAGGTGTAAATGTGTGGGTGTGTATCTATGGATTCCCTAGCTAAATCTTCTGAGAAGGTCCAGAAATGGATTCTAAATAAGACCCTTCACTAAAAGAACCAGGGTTCCTTTAAGAAATACCCGATTCTAGAGCTGGAGACATGGAAGAACAAAATAAGTCTGGAACATTATATTGTGCCAGAAAATAAAGACATTTTCAAAGTATAAGGGGAATATGTTAAAAGGACACAGTAGGCCAGGCGCAGTGGCTCACGCCTGTAATCCCAGCACTTTGGGAGGCCGAGGTGGGCGGATCACAAGGTCAGGAGATCGAGACCACCCTGGCTAACACAGTGAAATCCCGTCTCTGCTAAAAATACAGAAAAATTAGCTGGGCATGATGGTGGGCGCCTGTAGTCCCAGCTACTCGGCAGGCTGAGGCAGGAGAATGGCGTGAACCCAGGAGGCAGAGCTTGCAGTGAGCCAAGATCGCACCACTGCACTCCAGCCTGGGCCACAGAGCGAGACTCCATCTCCAAAAAAAAAAGGACACAGGAAGTTAGATTGAAGATGCTGTCACTGGCCAATTTTGGAACATTTTGAGATTGAAAAAGAAATAATGATAATAACAGATTACATACAACTCATTGGATAAAATAGGAGCTGACTGTTCCCGCACTGATTTGAATAAATAAATGGGGAGATGAGAAACCTATTCCTTCCAATAGAATATAAACTAATAAATGTAGAAGGAATGAAAAATTTAGAAAACAGTTATTTGGTAGCCATCACAGCATAATTAATTCAAGCAAGAATCATCAATAGATATTATAACTGATGAAATAAAGGTAGATTAAAAAATGAGATTTCATGGAGTCTCACAATATGTCTTCAAAAACTTAGTAATTACACCAAAAAATGACTTTATAACAAAAGTGGGCAAAAAAAAGTTCAGATAGATAAAAACAGGACTTTTTTCCAGCTGACCTGTACTGCAAGATATGCTAAAAGAAGTCCTTTAAACTAAAAATAAATGACATCAAATGGAAACTGGAGAAAGGGATTAGGAATTCTGGAAATGTTAACTATGTGGGTAAACATCACATTCTATATATAGTTATTTTCTTCTCTTAATCACTTCAAAAAATATATTATTAAAACAAAAACGTGTGTGTGTGTGTGTGTGTGTGTGTGTGTGTGTGTATAAAACCACTATGGGATTTCTAACGTATGTAGATGCAATATATATGAAAGCAATAGCACAAAGAAGTGAAGGTGGGCCGGGCGTGGTGGCTCATGCCTGTAATTCCAGCATTTTGGGAGGCTGAGGCAGGCAGATCAACTGAGGTCAGGAGTTCGAGACCAGCCTGACCAACATGGTGACACCCCATCTCTACTAAAAATAAAAAAATTAGACAGGCATGGTGACGCACACCTGTAGTCCCAGCTACTCGGGAGGCTGAGGCACAAGAATCACTTGAACTGGAGAGGCAGAGGTTGTAGTGAGCTGAGATTGTGCCAGTGCACTCCCTCCTGGGCCACAGAGCAAGACTTTTTCTCAAAAAAAAAAAAAAAAAAAAAAAAAAAAAGAAGTGGGGGGTGAATGAAACCACACCATTGAAAGTTTCCTACATTTTACATGAAGTGATACAATAGTAATTCTAAATGAACTATAATAAATATCAAGACTATATTGTAACCTCTAGAGCAACCACTAAAAAAATAATGCAAAGGAGTATAACTTAAAGAGCCAGAAAAGAAACTAAAATGGAATACATACTAAAAAAAAATTTTTGTAATGCAAGGAAGCAGGAAAGGAGTATGAAAGTAACCAAAAGCACACAGCACAAATAGAAAATGAAGAGCAAAATGGGAGACCTAAATCCAACCATATCAATTTACACACCAATTAAAAAGCAGACGATAGCCTAAATACAAAAGCAAGACCCTACTATATGCTGTCTACAAGAGATGCCCTTTAAATATAAAGACATAAATCGATAAAAATAAGTAAAGAATAGTAAAAGGTATACTATGCAAATAGTAAGTGTAAGAAAGCTGGAGTGGCTATATTGATAGAAAACAAATTAGACTACAAGACAGGGGTAATAACACATAGGTAGCACATTTTCATAAAGACGGAAGGATCAATATAATAATATTTAATGCATATATGCCTAATAATAGACTTTCAAAACACACAAAGTAGAAACCAATGGAATAACCAGAATAGACAAATTAACAAAAATAGCTGGATATTTGAATACCTCTCTTTCATTAAGTGATCAAATTAATGAAATAAATCAATATGCACACACAAGATTTGAACATCACCATTTCTTGACCTAAGTGATATTTATAGAACACTATACCCATTAACTACAGAACACATTCTTTTCAAGTGTACACTACTTGCCTAAGAAGATCCAGTGTTTGTTGAATAAATAAAATGAATAAATACATAATACACAAGTGGAAGATGGAATACGCTGAATTTAAAGCGACTGTATAGACAAACAGAGCAAGATGATGGACAAACAGAACAAGGAGTTGAAGCTGGCCAGGTGCAGTGGGTCACACCTGTAATCTCAGTGCTCTGGGAGGCCAGGATGGGAGGTCTGCTTGAGCCCAGGGCTTGAGACCAGCTTGGACAACAGAGTGACACCCCATCTCTAAATTAAAAAAAAAAAAAAAATTAGCCAGGTGTGGTACATCTGTGGTCCCAGCTCCTTGGGAGGCTGAGGTTGGAAGATCATTTGTGCCCGGGAGGTCAAGGCTGCAGTGAGCTATGATTGTGCCACTGCACTCCAGCCTGGATGACAGATCAAGACCCCATCTCAAAAAAAAGAAGAAGGAAAAGAAAAAAAAGTTGAAGTTGATGACAGAGACTTAAAATCATCTTAATGGCTACATTTCAGAATACTTAAAGCGCCTTAGAATCTTGTTTTTCCAAAAGAGCACTAGGCAAAATGCTGTGCAGAGAGGAATAGAGACTAACCAGTAGATTAAAAAAAAAAAAACAAAACAGAATACCACTGGGTGGGGAGGTATCATAAACTAAAGGAAGGGAGTTTTAACAAGTGGGATAGAAACCTATGTTAAATACGGAAAAGAAGAGGAGGATGTGGACTGAGAAAAAAACTTCAAGCATGAAAAGAAAACACTAGTAATCCTCCAAAGCAGCAAATATGGATGAAGTTATGTATATGAGAGCCTGTCCAGGGGAACTTCCCAAATGGCAGAGGTATCAAGGAAGCAGGGACAGCATGTAGCACCCATGGAGTCAGTAAGTTTGGCAGCAGAAATGAGAACAGAGAAAGCGTGGTAGCCAAGAGGGCAACTGAATTGAAAGAAAGTGTTCGTCTTCTGTTTTTAAGATGGGAAGAGCTGTATATCTGAACAAGAGGAAAGAGGTCCACTAAGCTAGTTGCGAGACAAAAAGAGAAAAGGACAGGAGCAAAGTCCCAGCAAATGGAAAGAGTGAAACAGAATGGCATTAAGTTTCAGAGAAAGGCATGAATACCTCATCTGAGACTTAATGGAAAGAAACAAGAATGGATGCAGGCACACAGAGATTTATGGGAGTAAGGGAAAAGATGAGGGTGTTCTGGTGAGACAGCTTCACTTTCTCAATCGGTTGAAAGCAACCATTCACCTGGTACTTCCCACTCTTCTGAGTAAGGCTAACCCAATGCTGGTAAACAGCTATGTTTATTTTTGTTTTTGTTTTTACACACAACTCACACTTCTCTGAATAGCCATGTTTAAAAGCTTAACTGAAGAGCTATTACAAATACAAACCCATAAAGTAATCAGGAATAAGTCATCAATCTTTCCAATATGGTATTTGGGAGAAAATATACTTAGGATTACCCCTGGGTTTAGAGATTACCTTTAAGCCATTCAGAGAAGACTGTGGCTCTGATTAAGATCCATTCTCTTGTCCCCTCCTTTGGCTGCCATTTTCCAATGCAATGATAAGGTCTGACAGCTGGTAGAGGCAGACATCTGATGAATGCAAAGACTTTTATTTGTCCAGATGACAGAAGAATGTGAAGAAACTGGTCATTTGAAATCTAGCTCCATCATGCTCTCCTTATCGCCCTTTTTCCATTGCTTCATTCTTCCCTAGCTACACTTTCAGGTTCCAGTTCTCAATGTTCCATGTGATTTGAAAGCTTTCACTGCTGTTCCATGAGATTTCGCTCCACTATGAAAAGCCCCAGGCTCCTTTTAATTATCAAAATCTACTTCACATGCATCATGTTCTTAACAACCAAACACCAAACTCCCAACAAAGCTGCTTAGTATCACTTCAGTATCTACACTGTATATGTTTGATCATCCTTGTTATTAACAAAAACAGCCCCTTCCATAGGCAGCAATACAATCTCTTACGTTGTATCCAAGGTCAGTAACAAAAATGACAGATCGGTTGGAAAGAATGTCACATGCATGCATGTGTGTAAATATGCACATATTCATCTACTAAGAGTGAATAATTATTTTTGTAACTTTATATATAAAACACCAACCATATTACTTTTCTCTTGCAAATATTTCATTTCTTTAGAATGACATACAATAGAGTGGGATTCATTAAAAAATATGAGTGGTTGAATTTCAAGTAAGAAATCTATACAGGGTTTGTTAACTTCTTGGAATCTTGCTAACTTACATCAAATCTACTATTTTGCCTTTGTGTTCTGTCACAGCCATTTGTAGCTACTTTCTAATTTTCTAATCTTTCATTTCCTATAAAATGCTTTACATGTCAAAATAAATTACTAATTCAGACATTGCTATGAAAAACAGAAATCCCTTTGATAAAAAAAGGAACAGATATTTGGATTATGGAGCATAAATTATACTCTGGTATATTTATGCAAAAGGGTTAAGGCCAAAGAAAGAATCTGCTTGCTTATTAAAAATGCAAACATTACCTCAGTCATACAAATAGCCCCAAACTCGCCCAGCCACTGCCTCTGCAGATCACCCACCAGCATTAGCATTACATCATATGACATTATGAAACAATAGTGAACTCTGTGTAATACTTCAATATATTGTTTTGAAAGAATAAACTGTCATTAAGTTGAATAAAAGCTTTCTGAAATCAAACCTGGGGGGTACAGGCTTCACTGTGTGGCCTTTTTACTATTTTGAGGAATGGCCTCATCCTGAAAGCAGGAAAGGGGGAAAAAAGAGTCAGAGTATAAAGGCGACAGTGATGCCTGGCCCCTGCAGCAGCCCAGCAGGCAGAGGGTAGGGCTTTTAATTATCAGGCAGAACAACGTCAAAGCAGGAGGCTCTGCAACAAATGCTGCACCTCAAAACCCAAACAACCTCATACCCACCACGCTAGTTCCTGTATATCCTAGTGATTTCTATAATGGGCTTTGCTAGAATTGGAAACTAAGTCTTATTCTATGTCCTGATGCAATCTTAAAATGTGCTATCACTTACAGCCATGTGACTTTAGGCAATTAATTTAAGCTCTCTAGGCCTCAATATTTTAATCTATAAAAACAGAAAGAACAATAGCTATTATGTAGAAGCATGGGGGATAAGATACTATTATCATAATTAAACTTATCATTTCCACCCCCTTTGCCTATCTTTCCTAATCACGGCCCAAGATGTTTCGTCTTCACAAGTGAAACATGAGCATCACCTTCAATGCTCACTGGCTTTTTGTTTGCTATAGTCTGGCCACAGCCACATGTTGTCATTTCTAGATTCACGCCACTCTCATCAAGTGGGGGTTGGGGTGGGGGGGATGAATTATACAAACTATTTTCTATAGTATTTTTTGAAACTCGGGCCGGGCATGGTGGCTCATGCCTGTAGTCTCAGCACTTTGGGAGGCTAAGGTGGGAGGAGCACTGGAGTCCAGGAGCTCAAGACCAACATGGGCAACATAGTGAAACCCTGTCTCTACAAAAAAAAAAAAAAATGTATTTTAATTAGCCGGGTGTGGTGGTGCACACTCTAGTCCCAGCTACTCTGGAAGCTGAGATGGGTGGATCGCTTGAGCCCAGGAGGTGGAGGCTGGAGTGAGCCATGATCTCATCTCTACCTTCCTTAACCAAATCCCCGATAACCTCTTCCTATAATCTGCTCCTTACTAGCCTTCCTCCTTCCTCACCTATTCTCAATGTTCTTAATAACCAAGGCTCAAAAAGGTGGAAAAACAAAGCCAGACAACATAATAGTTGGTGGCAAAGTCCCAGTTAAAACTCATTTATCAATGCAACCAGGTCCAGTTGCATTGCATTAACTGCATCACATTAATTATTCACTTTCAGGGCACTCAGTGATGATTTATTTATTTTGAGACAGAGTCTTGCTCTGTTGCCCAGATTGGAGTGCAGTGATGCAATCTTGGCTCACTGCAACCTCCACCTCTAGGGCTCAAGCGATACTCCCACCTCAGCCTCCTGAGTAGCTGGAACTACAGGTGCCCACCACCATGCCCGGCTAAGTTTTGTATCTTTTGTAGAGACAGGGTTTTGCCATGTTGGCCAGGCTAGTCTCAAACTCCTGTGCTCAGGTGATCCAACCGCCTTGGCCTTCCAAAGTGCTAGGATTACAGGCGTGAGCCACCATGGCCAGCCCTCAGTGATGACTTCAAATCTGAGGTTAGCTTCCCTTAACACCAAGTCTTCTAGATATTTCCCCTACTAGTGATTATCATAAAACGAATTACAGCTGACCCTTGAACAACAACATGGGTCTGAACCACGTGGGTCCACTTATACGTAGATTTTCTTCTGCCTCTGCCACCCCTAAGACAGCAAAACTAACCCCTCCTTTTCCTCCTTCTCGGCCTACTCAACGTGAAGACAATGATGAAGATCTTTCTGATGATCTACTTCCACTTAATGAATAGTTAATATACTTTCTCTTCCTTATAATTTTATTTTTCTTTGAGACCAAGTCTCACTCTGTCACCCAGGCTGGAGTGCAGTGGCATGATCTTGGCTCACTGCAACCTCTGCCTCCCGGGTTCAAGCGATTCTTGTGCCTCAGCCTCCCAAGTAGCTGGGACTACAGCTGCACGCCACCACACCCAACTAATTTTTGTATTTTTAGTAGAGATGGGGTGTCACCATGGTGGCCAGGCTGATCTCGAATTCCTGACCTGAAGTGATCCATCCTCCTCGGCCTCCCAAAGTACTAGGATTACAGGCATGAGCCACTGTGCCTGGCCTTCCTTATAATTTTCTTAATACATTTTCTTTTCTCTAGTTTACTTTATTGTAATAATATAGTATATAATAACATATAACACAAAAGATGTGTTAATCAACTGTTTATGCTATCAGTAAGGCCTCTAGTAAACAGAAGGCTATTAGTAGTTAAGTTTTGGCTAAGTTGAAAGTTATATGCAGATTTTTTTTTTTTTCTGAGATGGAGTTTCACTGTTGTTGCCCAAGCTGGAATGAAGTGGTAGTCTCAGCTCACTGCAACCTCCATCTCCTGGTTCTAGCAATTCTCCTGCCTCAGCCTCCTGAGTAGCTGGGTTTACAGGTGCACACCACCACACCCAGCTAATTTTTTTTTTTTGAGATGGAGTCTTGCTCTGTCACCCAGGCTGGAGTGCAGTGGCACAATCTTGGCTCAATGCAAGCTCTGCCTCCCAGGTTCATGCCATTCTCCTACCTCACCCTCCCAAGTAGCTGGGACTACAGGCACCCGCCACCACACCCGGCTAATTTTTTTTGTACTTTCAGTAGAGACAGGGTTTCACCGTGTTAGCCAGGATGGTCTCGATCTCCTGACCTCATGATCCACCCGCCTTGGCCTCCCAAAGTGCTGTTTTACAGGCGTAAGCCACTGCGCCCGGCCTAATTTTTTGTATTTTTAGTAGAAATGGGGTTTCACCATGTTGGCCAGGCTGGTATTGATCTCCTAACCTCAGGTGATCCACCCACCTCGGCCTCCCAAAGTGCTGGGATTATAGGCATGAGCCGCAGCGCCTGGCCGGCTTTTTTTTTTTTTCTTTTGAGGCAGGATCTCACTCTGTCACCTAGGCTGAAGTGTACTGACATGACTACTGCTCACTGCACCCTTGACCTCCTGGGCTCAAGCGATCCTTCTACAACAGCTTCCCAACTAGCTGGGACGACAGGTATGTGCCACCATGCCTGGCTAATTTTTTGTATTATCTGTTGAGACAGAGTCTCATTGTGTTGCCCAGGCTGGTCTTGAACTGTTGGACTCAAGTGATCCTCCTGCCTCAGCCACCCAAAGTGCTGGAATTACAGGTGTGAGCCACCATGCCCTACTATTGTTAACTTCTTTAGAGAATCACATTATTCCTCAAAATCATGAAAACTAAGAAGATGAGTAGGCCATGCAAGGTGCCTCACGCCTGTAATCCCAGCACTTTGGGAGGCCGAGGTGGGTGGATCACCTGAGGTCAGGAGTTCGAGACCAGCCTGGCCAACATGGTGAAACCCCATCTCAACTAAAAATAATAATAATAAAAACATTTAGCTTGGCGTGGTGGCAGGCATCTGTAATCACAGCTACTTCAGGAGGCTGAGGCAGGAGAATCACTTGAACCTGGGAGGTGGAGGTTGCAGTAAGCCAAGATCAAGCCATTGCACTCCAGCCTGGGTGACAGAGCAAAACTCTAAAAAAAAAAAAAAAAAAAAAAAAAAGATGAGTAACATGATATAATGTGTTGTTTTACATAAGAGCCAGAATGTTTACCAAAGTCTAACTCTCAGGCCTGTAGGGAAGAAATTGATTAGGAGATATACCTAATGTGAATGACGAGTTAATGGGTGCAGCACACCAACATAGCATATGTATACATATGTAACAAACCTGCATGTTGTGCACATGTACACTAAAACTTAAATAATAATAAAAAAGAAACTGAAAGCTTGTATTTCCTTATTTATGAAACAGATGAAGCACTGGTAAGAATAAGACAATATATGGATCATCTATAAAGCACCATTTGTTTTTGTTTTCTAAATAGTGTGGAACAGTGTAATATAGGATTTGACATCAATGAAGAAGGTTCAAGTACAACCTCTGTGTATGCCAGCTGCCTTATAAAAGGCTTATAAGAAGCTTATCTTACCCCAATCATTGAAACACATTTAATGATGTAAGAATTAAAGGGATGATATGTGTATGAGGAGGGGCATTTTAATTCAAATAGCTATGTAAATGTAAGATGTTTTACACTGTATTATACCAAGTTAAGTAAACCAGGGCCTTATGTTCATTATTTCCTAATCTTTGGTGGGGGTGAGGGAGGAGAGAACTGAAGGACTCTTACAGCAGAAACACCAGTTAATATAAAATAATCTCCACTACTTAATAGAGATACAAAAATAATAAAGTTGTGGCCTTCGTTCAAAAGGTAACTACCACAGTATATGCTAATTGGGTGGGTAATCTCTCTTCTCAAACACACACTCTCATATAAAACTGCCGCCAGGATTAATTACGAGTGTATCAGTAGTGATGGAGATTTTTCTCTATGGATCTGAACTAGTCCACCCACTGTCCAGATCACAAATAAGAATGAAAATCTTTCCATGGGAATATAACAGGGAAGGGCCATTTCCAACCTCATTCATTCACTTAGTCCCTATCTTATACCAGATTATATTTCACGTGCTGGGAATTCAACAGTGAGCAAAAGAGAAAATACCTGCCATCATGGAGCTCACATTCTAGCAGAGAAATATAGACAGATAAAGATATTTGCAATAGGTCAATGATAATTAAGTGCTATAGAGAAAAACAGGTAGGCAAAGGGGCTGCAGTTTTAATTAAGGAAATCAAGAAAGGCTTCACTGAGAAGATGCCATTTAAGCAAAGACCTAAAGGAGATGAGAGAGCAAGATACATGGATAAGTAGAGGGAAAGTAGTAGGGCTACACAAACGTCTCCAGCAAGTTCAGATAAAACAAAACGCAATCCTTTACCTTTCAAAAGGGGCTGGAAGGTTGGAATCTCTTGCAACTTGATGACATCGGGATCGTTGCTGACGTTCCGTGAGGCCTGGGAGCCCTGAGCTACAACCACAATATCATCCATCTTGGCTCTATGCTTGGCTGGTGAAGGAGTCACTGAAAATAAAGTTACACTGCTTAGGAGATGCATATTAGGCATCTCTGCCTCACCAAAGCAGTTTTTGGTGTAGTGATTAAAAAGAATAATTTTATAAAATGTAGCTATCTTGCAGTTGGGGTTGGGGTGGCAGGGATGAATTATAGAAACTGTTTTCTATAGTATTTTTAAAAGCTCAGGCTGGAGCCAGGCACGGTGGCTCATGCATGTAATCTTAGCACTTTGGGAAGCCGAGGTGGGCAGATCACCTGAGGTCAGCAGTTCAAGACCAGCCTGGCCAACATGGCGAAACCCTGTCTCTACTAAAAACACAAAAATTAGCGGGGCATGGTGGCGGGTGCCTGTAATCCCAGCTACTCAGGAGGCTGAGGCAGGAGAATCACTTGAGCCCGAGAGGCGGAGGTTGCGGTGTGCCAAGATCGTGCCACTGCACTTGAGCCTGGGCAACAGAGTGAGACTCTGTCTCAAAAACAAACAAACAAAAACGCCACCTCAGGCTGGGTGTGGTGGCTCATGCCTGTAATCTCAGCACTTTGAAAGGCTGAGTGGGAGGATCACCAGAGTCCAGGAGTTCAAGACCAACCTGGGCAACATAGTGAGACCCTATCTCTAAAAAAAAAAAAAAAAAAAAAAAAAATTTCTTTTAATTAGTCAGATGTGGTGGTGCACACTGTAGTCCCAGCTACTCAGGAAGCTGAGATGGGAGGATCACTTGAGCCCAGGAGGTCAAGACCACAGTGAGCCATGATCACACCACTGCATGGGTAAGACAGCAAGAGTCTCAAAAAACAAAACAACAACAACAACAAAAACCCTCAGACATTACAGGATTTTATTTTATTTTGAGGCAGAGCCTCGCTCTGTCGCCAGGTTGGAGTACAGTGGTGCAATCTCGGCTCACTGCAACCTCCGCCTCCTGGGTTCAAGTAATTCTCTTGCCTCAGCTTCCTGAGTAGCTAGGACAACAGGCATGCACCACCACATCT
This sequence comes from Homo sapiens, assembly GCF_000001405.40. Taxonomy (NCBI): domain Eukaryota; kingdom Metazoa; phylum Chordata; class Mammalia; order Primates; family Hominidae; genus Homo; species Homo sapiens. The sequence continues at coordinate 329,216 of NW_011332696.1, read as the reverse complement.
GGCTAATTTTTGTATTTTTAGTAGAGATGGGGTTTCACCATATTGGCCAGGCTGGTCTCGAACTCCTGACCTCGTGATCCACCCACCTCGGCCTCCCAAAGTGCTAGAATTACGGGTGTGAGCCATCACGCCCAGCCCATTACAGGATTATATAACATGAATGAACTTCTTTCATAACTAAATATTTTCTTTTTCAGCACACAAAAGTATAGGCAGATTGTTTTTACTTTCTCTTTAATTCTCCTGCTATCTTGAGATATATATATATATCTCCCTATTTCTAAAATGAGAAATAAAGGGTACAAAATTTAACTGTGACTTGCCCAAAGTCAGCAGTGCTAGACAGTTAGGAAAGGAATTAGACATCTACAAGTTATTGGTACACAAGGCCCATCTCTGCGACACTGGAGTTGCAAAGCTGTCTATCCACCCTACCACATCAAGCCAGCTATGTTTAGTAAGTCCAGGAAAAAAACCTGTTCTCAACCCCCGAATGACTGGCCTATTCCCGAGGCTTCAGCCTCCTCACTCTTTTTTTTTTTTTTTTAAGTCAAGGCGGCTGGGCACGGTGGCTCACGCCTGTAATCCCAGCACTTTGGGAGGCCAAGCCAGGTGGATCACTTGAGGTCAGGAGTTCGAGATCAGCCTGGCCAACATGGTGAAACCCTATCTCTACTAAAAATACAAAAATTATCCAGGCGTGGTGGCATGTCCCTGTAATCCCAGCTACTTGGGAGGCTGAGGCAGGAAAATTGCTTGAATCCGGGAGGCGGAGGTTGCAGTGAGCCAAGATCATGCCACAGCACTCCAGCCTAGGTGACAGTGAGACTGTCTCAAAAAAAAAAAAAAAAAAAGAGTCAAGTCTCACTACATCGCCCAGGCTGGATTTAAACTCCTGGGCTCCAGCAATCCTCCCACCTGGGCCTGAGTAGCTAGGACTACAGCCCCCTCACTCTTAAAATTATAGCATTAGTCCAGGGCAAAAATAGCCAGTAAGTCCATTCTAGGCTGAGGCAAAAATCAGAAATTTGGAGGACAAAGAGGGAGATCAATTCAGGTTCCTTGGGAGAAAGTAATCCATTTGGAGGGAAGTGATTCAAATTATAAAGGACTCCCTAGACCAAGAAATCATCCTCTCCCCCAAATATCTTCCAGACTGGGACAAGAATGAATCTTTAAAGTGTTTTATGCTCTAGAAGGTAATATTCCCAGGCTCATTATAGTCATATCTCAAAGGTTAATCCAGGGATGCCATAGAACTGTTCTGCCTCCTAGAAGCTCGTCTCCGGAGGCTTGGCATTCACTCTTCTAGAAAAATCTCTGCTGCTTTTATTTCTTTTCAAGAAATATTTATTTACCTGTTTTGGTAATTTACCTAACATTTTACAAAAGCCATGCCAGAAATCTTTCCTGCTATAAATTGTGATTCCTCCTTCCCCAGATACCAGAGGAAAGGGGACTTCAAAACACTCTAGCTAACCTCTACTACTTTATCTGTAAAATGGGATTACTGCAAAAATTATATGTAAATGTATGTAAAGTACCGGGCACAGGGGAATAGGCAAATTCTAACATCGGAAATGCTCGAATGCTGTTGGTTCATGGGCAAGAAAACAAATTAAAAAGATGCCACACCGCTTCCCCCTAAAATATGTTTCTGCCCTGCCATAGAGGCAAGAATGTCAAAGGTGGCAATTATTATATTTCTTATAACAGATATGACACTCTGGCCCTTCCAAGGAAATAGAAAAACGTAGCAAAGCTAGTAGATGCTGCTCACCATTCAAAGCTGCCCCAATCCAGTCCCCAGAATGTAGGTCTGAACTAGTCTTGAAAGTCACACCTTAAAGTGAAACACCCTTAGATCTATTAGCTTGCCTATTTCTGAATTACAGCTCCTATCAAGAACAGAGAACTTCTAAAATCGGCGACTCTTTTTAGGCCCCAGATTTAACCAATTTGCGTTAGCAACCCCGGAGCTTAACCAAAGCACTCCCAGCTGTCCTAGCGTGTGGGTAACAAAAAAAGCAGCAAATGGTCCTCAATTAAACATCAGCTGCTTTATCTATTTATTGAACACTCACTGTATTGCAAACACAATAATCCTCCCATTCTTGTCTCAAACGCTTAGAGAAGTCTAAAAATCATGGACAGAGAACAACAATGGAAAACACCAGTGCCTGCTGTCTGGCCAACCTCTACAAGATTAGAAAACGGACCAAGACACCTTCTGAGAAGAAAAAGCTGTTTCTGGAGACCTTTGCACTAAAGGGTTCAAAGCAAGTGGACACCTATCACATATCCCTTCAGAAAAGGAACCTCTAACACCCGTTTTTAAGAAACAGACTGTTCTTAGAGGTCCTATAATCCATCCACTGTGTGAGCCAAATCTCACTACATCAGCCATGAGCACTAGAGCCAAAAATTAATTAGCTCGTCTTTTAAACAGGAGGCTGTAGCTGGGAGAAACGGCTGTTTTGAAAATAAATAAGGGCACTGGCGCCCACGCTGGCTTAGCTTGCAGTCACACGCACTTCCATCAGGGGAATCGAGGCCAGGACAGATGGTGACTTTTTTTTTTTCCTACTAGCACGGTGAAGGCTTTTTCTGTGCGTTCCCGTCCGCAGTCCCTGACCCTAGTCTGGGAGGCAGCCCGCTCTGCAAGGGGACAGGGCGGGCTGGAGGAGGGTGGGAGGTTAGGACACCGACCTGAGGAGTTCAGATCGTTGGGTCGGCTCTCGGCCTCGGAGCTCTGCTCACTGCCCATGGTGCCGACAGCGGTGGCAGCAGAAGAACGGCGGGCCGGGCGGTCACCGCTCCGGCGGCGGGCGACAGGGCAGGGGCCAGGGACCGGGACGGGGAGGCAAAGCAGAGTCTGGGCGCCGCAGCGAGGCTAATGTGTGGGGCTGACGCGTCCAGCCCACGCAGGGGCCTGGGCGGCGGGAGAAGGAGAGGCCCTATTTGGGGAACAGAAACGCAAGGAGGCGCGGCGCGAACGCACGCGGCTAGCCCTCCTTCTTTCCGGGAGCCCTAAGAGAACCGGCAGATGACACTGGCTTTGCCGCACCTGCGGCCGGCGGGCGGCGCCGCTTTCACTCACTGGTTCACGCTCCGCAAGCTCGCTCCTTCCGGGACGCAGATGGGCGGTGCCGGCTACGCAAGACCTTCAGTTCCGGATTAGGAGGCCCCGCCCCCCGGCCCGAGGGAGGGGCGGAGAGACCCGCTCCTGCGACTTAGGGCGATGCCACCTTAAAGGGCTTGACCTCCTCGAAGCCAGAACTGCGGAAGAGGGTAAGCCCTTTCCTGTTGTAAGGATGCGTCACCTTTAAAACACCACCCACACTATTAAGCTCTTCAATACCCACATGTGAGAACAACTTTACAAAATAGGTATTTTTAACCCTGTTTTACAGATGGAGAAAGAAACGCTAGATAGACCCAGGATTCGAACCCACAACAGCTTGGATGCAAAGCTCATTTTGAATTCTGAAGAGCTGGGAGTTTAGCAGTGGACGACCAAACAAAAAAATACCAGAAGACGGTGAAAGCAGCAGCTGGAAATGAGAGAAAAATTAAGAAATAGAAAATGCTGTTTCATGTATTAGGGAGTGCACATCTTTAAAGAGAAGTGAAGAACCTTTTTGGCTAGGCGCTTTCTGGGGACCTTGGCAGTTATCAACAAGTCACTCTGAAACTAACAGAAGGTGAGGAGGGAGTAATCCAGAAAGGAAACTGCCATTTTTGCTAGGGCAAGAAAGTAGACCTAGCAATGCAATGCCATCAAGGAGTTAGCTGGCTCTAGCGTTCTCCGAACTTTGCAACTCATTTTATATTACATTGTCTGCGTCAAGAAATTTCAAGTAAATGCCTTGAGATTTTATATGTATAAAATGTAGTCTCTGGCCAGGCGGGGTGGCTCACGCCTGTAATCCCAGCACTTTGGGAGGCTGAGGCGAGTAGATCACGATGTCAGGAGATCAAGACCATCCTGGCTAACATGGTGAAACCCCGTCTCTACTAAAAAATACAAAAAATTAGCCGGGCATGATGGTGGGCGCCTGTAGTCCCAGCTACTCGGGAGGCTGAGACAGGAGAATGGTGTGAACCCGGGAGGCAGAGCTTGCAGTGAGCCGAGATCGCGCCACTGCACTCCAGCCTGGGCGACAGAGCGAGACTCCGTCTCAAAAAAAAAAAAAAAAAAAAAAGTCTCAGAAGAAGTGTCAAGTTGACTAAATGATTTTTAAGTCCCTTCCACTCTACTATATCACAATAATTTCCCCTATTTTACCTTATTTAATTTTCACAACAACCCTGCAGCCTGTAAGTAGGTGACTCCTCCATGGTCAGCAGGTGGTCAGTGGTCGAACTATTTAGGACTATCTGATGCTCTTTCCTCTGCTCACCATTGCAATACAATGAGAAAAATGCAAATGAATCTAAGTACAGTGTTCTCTGGGAATATGAAGATAGAACTAAAAACTGCCTGAGAGATCAGGGCAGGCTTCTAGAAAGTTGTGTCTAACTAGTCTTGAGGTTTACATAAACCACACCAGGCTGATGGGACTGGGAAGGGCCCACTAAGCAGTGAGACCATTCCCTTTTGGAGAGTCCTTGCATCCCCTCCCAGATTTCCTCTTTGAGGGGAAGGTGAGAGAGGAGGTAAAAGGGGTGAGGAATGGAGAATAACTCATTCTGGTTCTTGTTTCCCCTTTTCCACATAAAAGTATATTTGTCTTGTGTTCCATACACCAGTCCATACTGATGTGATGGTGTTTTTTATGCTTCCTTTTGAATAAACATTTCATTCTTAAAAGGATAGTCTGTCGCATCAACTGATGAATGGATAAATAAAGTGTGGTAATCATGGAATATTTATTCAGCCAAAATGAGGGAAGGATGAAATCATACTGATACATGCTACAACATAGAGTAACCTTGACAACATTATTCAATATGAAAAAGGCCTGTCAGGCCGGGTGCGGTGGCTCACGCCTGTAATCCCAGCACTTTGGGAGGCCGAGGCGGGCGGATCACGGGGTCAGGAGATTGAGACCATCCTGGCTGACAAACTGAAATCCTGTCTCTACTAAAAATACAAAAAAAATTAGCCGGGCGTGGTGGCGGGCGCCTGTATTTCCAGCTACTCAGGAGGCTGAGGCAGGAGAATCGCTTGAACCCAGAAGGCGGAGCTTGCAGTGAGCAGAGATCGCACCACTGCACTCCAGCCTGGGCGACAGAGCGAAGACTCCGTCTCAAAAAAAAAAAAAACAAAGCGTATCACAAAAGACCACATATTGTAGATTTCATTTATATGAAATGTCCAGGAGAAGCACTACAGAGAGAGAAATATGTTAGTGTTGCCTAAGGCCGAGGAGGGGTACGGGTGGAAGGGAAATGTAGACTATTATTGGGTATGGGGTTTCTTTCTGGGGTTGATGAAAATGTTCTAAAATTGTAATGATGAATGCACAACTCTGAATATATTAAAAACCACTGTAGAGTACACTTTACCAGGGTAAATTGTATGGTATACAAATTCCATATCCATAAAGCTATATTCAGTAAAAGAACATATGAAGATAAAATTCCTTCCTTCACTGGCTTAACATTTCTTGGGAACCTGAAATGTTCTAGGCACTTGCTACACGTTAAAAATAAAAAATTCAACAAGGCCCAATCCCTGTACTTAGGAAGCTTACAGTCTGGTGGCAAGAAAATTAAATGAGCATTTATATAACATAAGGAGTCTGCTGGAAGAGCTTTATAGCTAGGAAACATTTCAGATTGATGTCTTTTAGCACCTTTAAAATCCCTTCTACATGAGCAGCAAACTGTGTTATTGTATATGTAATAACTAGCAATTGAACAGCCTTTTTGAGTTTACAGGTCTGCAGGTCTATATGTTAGACCTGCATAAAAAGGTCTATATTATGACCTGCGTGTAAAGTAGATACCACTTTCCTAATTTTACAGAAAAGTTAAGTGATTTATTCTTGGTCACACAACTAGTGAGTGATAAAACCAGGATTCACGTTTTCAAAACTCATCATGCCTCTGTCCACTCCAGACTGACTCCTCTTCCCGTGTCTTTATATGACCTGGTACTCCCACCCAACCAGGCTCCCAAGCCAGAAGCCTGCTTACTGTCAGCACTGCATCCAACCAATCGTTGTGTCCTGGAGAGCCTCTCCTCTTAATTTCTCCTCTATCTGCATGCCCATTTCAGGGCCTTATCACTTCCGTTTCTTGGAAGAGAGGCCTCTGGCCTCACGTCCCTCAATCCATCCCTCCTGTGGCAGGTAGAGATAATTTTCTAGAATATTAATTAGGTCTCTGGACCTGTCACTGCCCTACAAAAAGCCTTCAGGAACTCCCCATGCCTTTAGGATAAAGTTTAAGATTTAACATATGAAAACCTTCCTGCTCTGACCCCAGCCTCTCTCTCTATTCTTCTGTGTACACTGGTAACCTTCCTAACAGGCTGAATTTCCTGTGGTCATGCAGTTTCCTATTCCTGAAATATTCAGCCTTTTCCTCCTCATCTGCTAATAACTTCATTCTTCAATAATTAACACCTCTTCCCAGAAATTGGGATCAGATGTCCCTTCTCTGAGCCTTTTTAGTTGCCATCTTCTATCATAACATTTATTCTTTTCTTGGGGAGGGCAGGGACAGGGTCTCACTCTGTTGCCCAGGCTGGAGTGCAGTGATGCTATCATGGCTCACTACAGCCTCCTAAGAGCCTCCTAGGCTCTTAGGAGATCCTCCTGTCTCAGCCTCCCAAGTAGCTGAAACTACAGACGTGTACCACCACACCATGCTAATTTTTATTTTTTGTAGAGATGGAGTCTTGCTATGCTGCTCAGGCTGGCCTCAAACTCCTGGGCTTAAGTGATCCTCCTGCCTTGGCTTCCCAAAGCACTGGAATTACAGGCATGAGCCACTACACCTGGCCTTCATCACACTTAACTGTTTACACAGCCATTGATTTACTTTTTCTCCTTCTGAACTATGAACATCTTAAAGGTAGATCTCATTGGTATTACTGGTCTTTAGTTTCCCCTGCAGGTGCTTAATACATGTTTTTTTTTTTGTTTGTTTGTTTGTTTGTTTGTTTGTTTTTTGAGACAGAGTCTCACTCTTTCACCCAGGCTGGAGTGCAGTGGCTCGATCTCGGCTCACTACAAGCTCCACCTCCTGGGTTCACACCATTCTTCTGCCTCAGCCTCCCCAATAGCTGGGACTACAGGCGCGCGCCACCATACCCAGCTAATTTTTTGTATTTTTATTAGAGACAGGGTTTCACCATGTTAGCCAGGATGGTCTCGATCTCCTGACCTCGTGATCCACCCGCCTCGGCCTCCCAAAGTGCTGGGATTACAGGCGTGAGCCACTGCGCCTGGCTGCTTAATACATGTTTTCCGATTACTTTTAAAGAAATCTTTCTCCACATAGATGGGACTTCTAACCCTCAGAGAAGAGTGTCAAGAATCTCTTCAGGAAATGAAGTGACAATGGATATAATTTCTAAGTTATGACTCAGGCCAGAAATTAAAGTTTTTATTTTATTTTTAAGTAAGCCAAGTGCAGTGGCTCACACCTGTAATCCCAGCACTTTGGGAGGCCAAAGCAGGAGGATTGCTTGAGCCCAGGAGTTTGAGACTAGCCTGGGCAATGTAGCAAGACCTCATCTATACAAATAATTTAAAACACCGGGTACGGTGGGTCACGCCTATAATCCCAGCACTTTGGGAGGCCAAGGTGGGCAGATCACTTGATGTCAGGAGTTCAAGACCAGCCTGACCAACATGGTGAAACCCCGACTCTACTAAAAATACAAAAATTAGCTGGGCATGGTGGCATGAGCCTGTAATCTCAGCTACTCAGGAGACTGAAGCAGGAGAATTGCTTGAACCTGGGAGGCAGAAGTTGCAGTGAGCTGAGATCGTGCCACTGCACTCCAGCCTGGGCAACAGAGCGAGACTCCATCTCAAAATTAAAAAAAAAAAAAAAATTAAGAACATTAGCTGGGTGTGGTGTGCGTTTGTGGTCCCAGCTACTCAAGAGACTGAGGCAAAAGAATCACTTGAGCCCAGGTGGTCAAAGCTGCAGTGAGTCGTGATTGTGCCATTGCACTCCAGTGTGGGCAACAGAGCGAGACCCTGTCTAAAAAAATGAATAAATAAACAATGATATTTATAAATTAAACATATATAATAGAAAATATTTCTTTAATCATTATTTTAATCAATATCCTTTGTTCACTGTCATAACTGAAAAAATAACATATCACTTCAATGAAAACAGGTTCAGGCCGGGCACAGTGGCTCACGCCTGTAATCCTAGCACTTTGGGACGCCGAGGCGGGCGGATTGCCTGAGCTCAGGAGTTCGAGACCAGCCTGGGCAACACGGTGAAACCCCATCTCTACTAAAATAGAAAAAAATTAGCTGGGCGTGGCGGCATGTGCCTGTAGTCCCAGCTACTCAGGAGTCTGAGGCAAAAGAATTGCTATAACCCGGGAGGTGGAGGTTGCAGTGAGCCGAGATCACACCACTGCACTCCAGCCTGGGCAACACAGCGAGACTCCGTCTCTAAAAACAAACAAAACACAAAACAAAACAAAAAAAGAAACAGGTTCATTGTATTAAAGCACCGAATACGAAGTTTCTAATAATGGAAAGGTCTACTTTGTAACTAGCATGGATTACCCCATGTAGAGAGATTCAAAAACTGTGATAGCTCTACACCCTGAACCCTGAAGTGTATCAGATGATAAAAGATAAAACACACTTGCAGATCAGTCCCTTGTTGCATCAGGAAAATCACTGCAATGGGAAATTACTCTGGTGTTTACTTTTCTTTGGTAACTCTTTCAAACCTAGCTTTAGCAACATTGTAATTCAAGAGTCATCCTTTGGTTACAAGTAGAGTTAGTTTCACACAATGGACCTTTGTTCACAAGCATTCTCAGTCAACCTAATCCTCCTGTAGTTATTGGTTAAGACTAGGGTGTGTAGCTGTTGGCCGTACAGGCCTAGACTTAACTTGCAATTGCATAGCGCTTCAGGTCTGCAAGCTCTTTCAAAACAGAGGTGAAGATACTGTCAAAGGTTAGACCATATGGCAAACTAAGTGTCAATGGTTTAGTAACGTTGCATTTGTGTGTGTGTTTATGGAGGTGGGGATGGGGCCAGCAGTAATTTAGAAACTTCCACAACCTATGCCCTATGCAGTTCTTTTCCATTCATTCAGTCAACAAAAATATTTTAGTTAAATATTTACTGAGCACCTATTGTGTACCAGGCACTATGCTAAGTGTTAGGGATACAGTTTTAATATATGTTACAGACACCAGCATTTTCACCATTATTATCCTATCTACAAACAATAAATCCCGCAGAAAGCCAAATACCTTCCCTGAAGTTTGTCTTGCAGATAATATTTAACTCAAGAATTGCCATCTTTAATTGAGGACTCCATCCTCCAATTATGGAAAGAGGATTCTCAGAACTATGCCCCCAATAGGATGCACTATAAGCCCTTGAACATCAAAAAACTGCTCTCAGTGGTTGCCTCTGAGGAGGGAGACTAGGAGACTGGGGCACGGGGGTGAGGGGTAGACTTGTCTCTGTGTCTATTTTTGTACTGTTTGACATTTTCCCCATGTGCATTTATTTTAACTTGCGCGGGCCGCGAGGCAAGGCTCACCTGCAGACCCTCGGGCCACCAGCAGGGAGGCACGCACTCCCCCTCGCAGCGCGCCCAGCCCGGGGTCAGCGGTGTGGCTGAGCTGGGGGGGAGCGCGGGGCGGTGGGGGGAGCCACCTCCCTGCGGGGCTCAGCGCTGGGGCCGGGAGCCCGGAGCCTCCGCGGGGAGGGACGCGCTAATGTTGCCGGGAAGCAGCTCCGGGTTGCAGGGCAGGAACGTGCCCTTCCCCCGCGGCAAACTTGCCGTCGCTGCGACGGAAGCAGGAACTTGCTAACCACAAAACCCGCCAGGCCGGTGCGGGAGCTGCGGAGCATCCGCTGCGGTCCTCGCCGAGACCCCCGCGCGGATTCGCCGGTCCTTCCCGCGGGCGCGACAGAGCTGTCCTCGCACCTGGATGGCAGCAGGGGCGCCGGGGTCCTCTCGACGCCAGGTAAAGGGGTCTCCCCAATACCCACCCCCGACCGGCCGCAGGCGACGTCGCTACCTGCGGAGAGAGTCGGTCCCCTCCTTTCCAGGGGCCGAGGCTCCTTCACCCACACCCGAGCATCCAAAGGACCAGCTGGGGCCAATAAGGGCTGACCAGGATCCTTGAGTCGCTGCAGTATTCCAAAGGGGACCTCTAGGCGGGCTCAAGGCACCTGCCATAAATGGCTCTGGCTCTGCGTTGACATCAGAAGGAGAGGCAGAAGAATAGCTCAGTAGGCAACATGCATTTCCTCAAAGGAAGAGAAAATGTTCCCTGTTTTCTTGTCGTTGACTCTGTATTCATTATTGAAACTGCTAATTGTCTAATTCTCTGTAGAGTGTGTGTGTGTATACAGTTATAAGCATCTTGGTAAATTATAGTGTGCTGTAAGACGATTTCCAATATTTGAACTAATTACGTGCGAGTAAGTTTTAGCGACTCTTGTATGCAGACGTTAAAACTCAGGGGCATCCTCTCTCACCCGCCTGTATCCTTTTACCCCGTCTTTCAACAAGATTCAACTCGACTTCAGGCCCTTAAAGCCTAAATAATAATGGATTAGAAAACGTCGCTAACCTAATATTGCTGAGCCTCTTTAATGATATAAAACTCTTAAACACTTCTCTCAATGCTGCATACTGAAAACAACTCCTGCCCCATCTCCTTACATAGTTCAGGTTTCTTTGCAAAAGCTTGAAAAGAGGCTACATTAGAATCCATTCAAAATAAAGTATTGGCCTGGTTTTCTCTTGATTCCCTAGAGGCTTGCAAAATATGGCAGCGTATTAAGTACCTTGGCCAGAATTATTAACCTGGGGAGTCCACGATAAGGTATCCATGGATAGAATTCAGGATGTCTGTGAACTTGAGTGGAAAAAATTATTATTTCACCGACTTCTGAAATGGAATGTAGGCAAAAGCCACAGTAGTATTAGCAGTAGCTATGATTTGCCCCCTGTAAATATTGCCGATATCTTTATATCACATGACTTGTTGCACGTTTCAAAATATTATCTATACTCAATACCACGTCAAAATTATGGCAGTTATTAGATGACCACTTGTTACTTAATAGGTTAATAAAGAAGCACATATTATGTCCCACAACTTTTTGTAAGTTTTAACTAAAATGAGGATAATAATGGGATCTGTAAAGATTAAATGACATGATATATATAAAGTGCTTAGCATAGAAACTGGCATTTTAGACGCAATAAATGTTACTATTTTACTGTATACAGAATTTTGACAAACAGCAAGAAAAGTATTAGACTTGTGTTTTATTACCATATACTGGTTTGTTTCTGGGTTTTTTTTTTTTTTTGGTTTTACCTTTTTTTAAAACTAAAAGTCCATAGTTCACATAATGTTCACTCTGTGTGTTTTACATTTCTATGGGTTTTGACAGATGTTCAATAACATGTATCCTCCATTACAGTGTTATACAGAATAGTCTCAATGCCCCAAATATCCCTTGCACTCCACCGATTCATCCTCCCACTCCTGTTCTCCTGGTGACCACTGGCCTTCTTACTGCCGCTGTAGTTTGCCTTTTTTAGAACGTCATACAGTTAGATTCATATCTGTTCAGACTGGCTTCTTTGACTTAGGAATATGCAGTTAAGATTCCTCCATGTCTTTTTGTGGCTTGATAGTTCATTTATTTTTATTACTGAGTAATATTCCAATGTATGGATGTATCTCATTTTGTTTATTCATCTATTGATGGGCATCTTGGTTGCTTTTAGTTTTTGGCAATTATGAATAAAGCTACTACAAATATTCTATTGCAGATTTTTGTGTGGACATAAGTTTTCAATTCATTTGAGTGAATACATAGGAGGACAATTGCTGAATTGTATGGTAAGGCTGCATTTAGCTTGGTAAGAAACTGCCAAACTTCTCCCAAAGTGGCTGTACCATTTTGCATTCCCCAACAGCAATGAATGAGAATTTTTCCTTTTTTTTTTTTCTTTTTTGAGATAGGGTCTCACTCTGTTGCCCAGGCTGGAGTGCAGTGGCATGATCTCGGCTCACTGCAACCTCCACGTCCCGGGTTCAAGCGATTCTTCTGCCTCAGCCTCCCAAGTAGCTGGGATTACAGGCACCTGCCACCATATCTGGCTAATTTTTGTATTTTTTTTTAGTAGAGATGGGGTTTCACCATGTTGGTCAGGCTGATCTCAAACTCCTGACCTCAAGTGATCTGCCCACCTTGGCCTCCCAAAGTGCTGGGATTACAGATGTGAGCCACCGCGCCCAGGCGAGAATTTCTGTTGCTCCATGTCCTTGTATTTGGTATTGTCCATTTTTTGGATTTTAGCCATTCTCATAGGTGGGTAGTGGTATCTTGTTTGAATTTGCAATCCCCTAATGACATATGATGTTAGATACCTTTTCATATGCTTATTTGTCATCTGTATATCTTCTTTGATAAGGTGTCTGCTCAGATCTTCTGTCCATTGAGTTTCTTTTCTTATTGCTGACTTGAGTTCTTTGTATATTTTGGATACCAGTCCTTTATCACAGGGTTCCCCAACCCCTGGGCCGCAGACCAGTACCTATTAGGAAATGGGCCACACAGCAGGAGGTGAGCAGTGGGCCAGAGAGCAAAGCTTCCTCTGTATTTACATTATGCATTACTGCCTGAGCTCCACCTCCTGTCAGATCAGTGGTGGCCGTAGATTCTCATCGGCGCACGAACCCTGTTGTGAACTGCACATGTGAGGGATCTAGGCTGCACACTCCTTATGAGAATCTAATGCCTGATGATCTGTCACTGTCTCCCATCACCCCCAGATGGTACTGTCTAGTTGCAGGAAGACAAGCTCAGGGCTCCCACTGATTCTACATTATGTTGAGTTGTATAATTATGTCGTTATATATTATAATGTAATAATAGAAATAAAGTGCACAATAAATACAATGCACTTGAATCATCCTGAACCATACCCCCACAACGCCGTCCATGGAAAAATTGTCTTCCATGAAACTGGTCCCTGGTGCGAGAAAGGCTATGGACTGCTGCTTTATCAGATGTGTGTTTCACAAATATTTCCTCCAAAAAAAAAAAAACCACCTCAAATATTTCCTCCAAGTCTGTGGTTTATCTTTTCATTCTCTTTAACGGTATCTTTTGTAGAGCAGAAGTTTTTAAATTTAATGAAGTCCAACATCAAATTTTTCTTTCATGGAGTGTGCTTTTGGTATTGTATTTAAAAACTCATCACCTAATCTAAGGTCACAAGGATTTTCTTCTGTTATTTTCTAGAAATTTTATGGTTTTATATTTTACATTTAGGTCTGTGATCCATTTAGAGCTAAATTTTGTGAAAGGTGTAAAGTATGTGGCTAGATTTATTTATTTATTCATTTTTGCAAATGGATATCCAGTTGTTCCAGTACCATTTTTGGAAAAGACTGTCCTTTCTCCATTGAATCCCCTTTGCTCCTTTGTCAAAGATCAGTTGACTCTCTTTGTGAGGGTCTATTTCTGGGTTTACTATTCCATTCCATTGATCTGTTTGTCTATTCTTTTTCTAATACCATACTTTTTTGATTATTGTAGCTTTACGGTAAGTGTTGAAGTCAGGTAGTATCAGTCTTCCAACTTTGTTCTTTAGTATTCTGGACTGTTCTTGGTCTTTTCTGCATTTCCATGTAAATTTTAAAATCAGTTGGTTGATATCCAAAAAATAACTTTGGGCTTTTGATTAAGACTGTATTTAATCTGTAGCTCAAGTTGGGAAGCACTGATACCTTTTTTTTTTTGAGACGGAGTCTCGCTCTGTCGCCCAGGCTGCAGTGCAGTGGCGCAATCTCGGCTTGCTGCAAGCTCCGCCTGGGGTTCATGCCATTCTCCTGCCTCAGCCTCCCGAGTAGCTGGGACTACAGGCGGCCGCCACCACGCCCAGCTAACTTTTTGTATTTTTAGTAGAGACGGGGTTTCACCGTGTTAGCCAGGATGGTTGTGATCTCCTGACCTCATGATCTGCCTGCCTCGGCCTCCCAAAGTGCTGGGATTACAGGCTTGAGCCATGGCGCCTGGCCAGGAAGCACTGATATGTTAACAAAATAAAGTCTTCCTATCCATGAACATGTTATATCTCTCTATTTATTAGCTCCTCTTTGATTTCTTTCACCAGGATTTTGTAGGGACATTCTAAAATCTATTTTGGTAATTATATTTCACTATAACTGGCTTCCTTTGGAATCCTACATATTCCATTTTATGCATTTTTAAATATGTCTCACAAAAGAGATCCTGAGCTTCCTCAGACTATCAAAGGGGTTAATAAACAAAGGTTAAAGAAGTAGTAATTCTGCTCTAAGCTATCATTCAGCAAACAATTTGTATTCAACAAAATGTTTAATGAAATGTTAAAAGGAAATGTGGAGGTTGATAGGTGAGGATAATTTCTTGTATTGTCTTGCCAGTTTAACATTTATTTTTCCTAAAAGAACCAGCATCTCAATAGAGTTGGCATTATACATAGTGTGACTTTTGTATTTTTAAGGCTGTCAAAAAGAAAACCTGCCCCTAAACTTTCCTTTAACTGAGGCAGCGTATTCCTCCTGCTGACTGGCTAATTTCTAGAATTAGATTATTAGAGTTTTCTAACTCTGATTTGATACTTCTTAAGGAGAAGCAGCAATAGGAAAGACTATCTCAGTTTCTTCATTATAAAATGAGGAAAATAATAGCTTTTTTTTTTTTTTTTGAGACGGAGTTTTGCTCTTGTCACCCAGGCTGGAGTGCAGTGGTGCAATCGTGGCTTGCTGCAACCTCCACTTCCCGGGTTCAAGTGATTCTCCTGCCTCAACCTCCCGAGTAGCTGGGATTACAGCTGCCCGCCATCACACCCAACTAATTTTTGTATTTTTAATAGAGATGGGGTTTCACCACATTGGCCAGGCTGGTGTCGAACTCCTGACCTCAGGTGATCCGCCCACGTGACTTGACCTCCCAAAGTGCTGGGATTACAGGCATGAGCCACCGCACCCGGCCAATAATAGCTTTTTTGCAAGGTTGTTGTATTAGTCAGGGTTCTCTAGAAGGACAGAACTAGTGTAATATATATATATATATATATATATATATATATATATATATATATATATATATGGGAGTTTATTAAGTATTAACTCACATGATCACAAGGCCCCACAATAGGCCATCTGCAGGCTGAGGAGCAAGGAGTTTCAAAACTGAAGAACTTGGAGTCTGATGTTTGAAGGCAGGAAGCATCCAGCTCAAGAGAAAGATATAGGCTGGGGCTGGGCGTGGTGGCTCACACCTGTAATCCCAGCACTTTGGGAGGCCGAGGCAGGCGGATCATGGTCAGGAGATCGAGATCATCCTGGCCAACACAGTGAAACCCCGTCTCTACTAAAAATACAAAAAACCAGCCGGGCGTGGTGGCATGCGTCTGTAGTCCCAGCTACTCGGAAGGCTGAGGCAGGGGAATCACTCGAACCCAAGAGGTGGAGGTTACAGTGAGCCGAGATTGTGCCACTGCACTCCAGCCTGGCGACAGCAATACTCTGTCTCAAAAAAAAAAAAAAAGATATAGGCTGGGAGGCCAGGCCAGTCTCTCTTTTTCGCATTTTCTGCCTGCTTATATTCTAACTGCACTGGCAGCAGATTTGGTTGTGCCCACCCAGATTCAGGGTGGGTCTGCCTTTCCCAGCCCACTGACTCAAATGTTAATCTCCTTTGGCAACATGCTCACAGACACACCCGGAATCAATACTTTGTATCCTTTAATCAAATCAAGTTGACACTCAGTATTAGCCATTACAGTTGGTATAAAGATTAAAGATGGTAATAAATTAAAGAGAATAACAATTCAAAAGAGTGGTAAATTCCTTAGCACAATGTCTACCATCTAGTATATTGTCACCTATTTTTACTTTTTAAGTTTTTTTTGAGACATGGTCTCGCTTTGTCACCCAGGCTGGAGTGCAGTGGTGTAATCACGGCTCACTGCAGCCTCAACTTCCTGGGCTCCAGCGATCCTCCCACCTCAGCCTCCCAAGTCGCTGGGACCACAGGCATGCGCCACCACACCCAGCTAATTTTTTGTATTTTTAGTAGAGACAGGGTTTCACCATGTTGCCCAGGCTGGTTTTGAACTCCTGAGCTCAAGCAATCCACCCACCTCAGCCTTCCAAAGTGCTGAGATTACAGGCATGAGCTACCACGCCTAGCCCCTAGTAGATGATTTTAAAATGCTGATTGTTATTACTGAGAAAGGAAATATGCTCAAACCTATTACTACTGCTTCATCAGTGACTAGAAATGTGTGCCCTCTCCGCTCTGAGTTAGAAGAGGGAAGGATTGTAGAATTCCGAGGCAGGCCTACTGTTTATACCTGTTCCTTCATAAGCATTGTCAGCTTTTAAGCATTGGTGAGGTAGTATGTTTGTTTATGCTTATTAGTTCTTTGCCAAATGTTTAATGAAAAGTTGTCTTAAATTTACTAAAAGTGAAACAAAAAATACGTGTATCTTTTCTTCTCTAAATTGTATGTGGATCCTTTTCATTGACTTTAAGGAAATGAAATGTTTCTTCCCTTGTTTGTTAAAGAAACAAAACTCATTGATGATTTTCCATTTTTGTTCTAGAGAGAAATCTCATCATCTGTGCAGCCTTCTTAAAGCAAACTAAGACCAGAGGGAGGATTATCCTTGACCTTTGAAGACCAAAACTAAACTGAAATTTAAAATGTTCTTCGGGGGAGAAGGGAGCTTGACTTACACTTTGGTAATAATTTGCTTCCTGACACTAAGGCTGTCTGCTAGTCAGAATTGCCTCAAAAAGAGTCTAGAAGATGTTGTCATTGACATCCAGTCATCTCTTTCTAAGGGAATCAGAGGCAATGAGCCCGTATATACTTCAACTCAAGAAGACTGCATTAATTCTTGCTGTTCAACAAAAAACATATCAGGTAAATAGTGGTTTCTTGGCAATCCTTTGTTCCATGTGTTTTGTGGCTTCAGGAGCTGGGGGATGTGGCTGAATAACTTATACCAGTGATTCTCGACAGGGTATGAATATAAGTGACAAAATCACTGGAGAATTTTCTACAAGTGTGCCCTCCCCTCTCCTAAGCTGAGTCAAAGTTATTGATGAATGTATGTATATATCCCTCAGGTGACTGGGTAGACAAGAGGTTGAGAATCACTGGTGTTATATCCCAACTGGTATCTAGAATATTGAAAACAAAAATCCTATTGAAATGGTTAGCTGCCATCAGCATGGAGTATTGGAATACAGTGTGATATTACAAAGAAAATGTAAACAGAGAAAAGGGGTTGAGACAAAAAATAGAATTCTTATCTCTTGGGAAAATCAGCATTTGATCTTTAAGTTGGAAGCATAAAACCTCCACTTCGTCTCCTTCCTTGGAGCTGGTGGCATAGGATAAGTCAAAAAAAAAAAAAAAAAAAAAAAACAAAAAAACACTGACTACTAGGTAACTACAGCTTCTAGAACTCTAATGGGATGGGGAATCAATTAGTCTGGCCCATTTTCATGACACAGGAGGAAACTGAGACCCATAGGTTTGAACCAGGACTTGCATATTTTAGGATTTAAGTATTTGTACTGAAAAGAGAAGTATACTGTGTATTTTAGTAAAACCTTTTTTCAATTTTACTTATGACCCTGTCCGAGTTCTCTAAATGAAAAAAACTAAATTTCTTGAGTACTTAACACTTTGTTAGTTGCCAGAGAGAAAACAGTGAATAAGATGGACAAGGCCTTGCCATCAAGTTGCCTAGAAAAGCTAGTGAATGGCCGGGTGTGGTGAATCATTCCTGTAATCCCAGAACTTTGAGAGGCCAAGGCAGGAGGATTGCTTGAGCCCAGGAGTTTGAGAGCAGCCTGGGCAACATAGCAAGACCCTGTTCTCTGTAAAAAGTAAAAAATCAGCCAGGCGTGCTGGTGCACGCATGTAGTCCCAGCTATTGGGAGGCTGAGGTGGGAGGATCACTTGATCCTAGGGGGTTGAGGCTGCAGTGGACTTTTTTGTTTGTTTGTCTGTGATGATGTCTCACTCTGTTGCCCAGGCCGGACGGAGCGCAGTGGCGCAATCTTGGCTCACTGCATTCTCTGCCTCCCAGGTTCAAGTGATTCTCCTGCCTCAGCCTCCCGGGTAGCTGAGATTACAGGTGTTCGCCACCACATCCAGCTAATTTTTACTATTTTCAATAGAGACGTGGTTTCACCATGTTGGTCAGGCTAGTCTTGAACTCCTGACTTCAAATGATCCTCCCACCTTGGCCTCCCAAAGTGCTGGCCTCCCAAAGTGTGTGAGCCACCGCACCCAGCCTACAGTGAGCTTTGATCGAACCACTGCACTCCAGCCTGGGTGACAAAGCAAGACCTTGTCTCAAAAGATACATATTTGATCTTTGTCTCCAGTTCCTGGCACAGAACTCCTAAAAACCTTGGAATTTCCCAAGAGATGGGAGCATGTCTTTGGTTATTCATAACCAGCCCCTTTCAACTATACTTGAGTTTGTGCTAGTGAGGCTTCACCTCAGGGGAGGGACTGGAGATTGAGTTCAGTCACAGTGGCCCATGACTTAATCAATCATGCTTGTGTAAAATGAGACCATCATAAAAACCCCTAGATGATCGGGAAGCATCCAAGTTGGTGAACACATCCCAGTGTCAAGAGAATTATGCACCTCAGTTCCCCAGGGACAAAGTCTCCTGCACTTGGGACTCTAGGAGCCTCTTTTGGCTGTTCATTTGTATCCCTTATTATAAACTGTAATAGTAAATACAGCATTTTCCTTAGTTCTATTAGTTGTTCTTGCAAATTATCAAATCTGAGGGGGTAGGATCATGGGAATCCCTGAATTAGCAGTAGCCGAGTCAGGCAGAAGTGTGGGTGACCTGGAGACCTGATACTTGCTACTGGCTTCTGAAATGAGGGCAGTCTTGTGATACCGAGCCCATAATCCATGGAATCTGATGCCAGCTCTGGATAGTTGGTGTCAGAATTGAACTCAATAGTAGGATATGTGGTTATTGCTGCAAAATGGTGTGGAGAAGACACCGTATACTTGGGGTCAGGAGGAAAAATCCCTTCGATGGTCTCATTGAGCAGTGTGCTTTGGGACACTTTATGCAAGTAATTTATGGAAATGACAGAGGTTTAATTTAAATTTCTAGTTTTTCTTTAAATGTTGACATCAACATGTATGTGAAATAGAAACATCACCTGCAAGCAGGACTGAATACTGTAAGTGTGGTATTTACAGGCATCAGCAAAGCCCTGCTCCTCAATTCTAAGAAACGAGGGTTTGCTGTTTTATTCTAGAAGCCAAAGTCCTATTACTGCTTTGCTACAAGCAGAGGTACTTGGAACCTCAGTTAATGGATCTCAAACATTTTCCTCACTTCCTGAGAAATGGTTTAACCACCGAGGGTTCAAAAGGCACTATGATAACTCGATGATACTCTAGAAAAATGCACATAACACGATGGGCACAATATCTTGCATACAATTTTGAGCTTATGGACCCTCCCCTTTACCTAAGTGCTAAAAAGAAAGGTATTTCTGGTATCACATTGTTGAGAAAGGAAAAGCAGGAGTACTCCTGTTATTATCTGAGTAATGGGGATATGACGTGATAAAACTCCTGCAGAGGCTAACTAAATCTTCCTTCCCATCTCGGGAGTTGGAGTTGATCTCTCACCATTGCCTGACTAGCACCAGTGGTGGTGATGGTCGACAGAGCGTATGTTTTTAACAATTAGCCTATGTGTCTCTTAACCTTCAGCCTGACCAGGGATACGCTGACCTCCCAAAGATGTGAGACTGTACCAAATGGAGGACAAAATCAAATCTAGGCCATGATGAATAGAGGGTTTAATTTCTGTTGGACACAAGAGGAACAGAAAAAGAAGCCAGCAGCTGGGTGCATTAGCTCATGCCTGTAATCCCAGTACTTTGGGAGGTTGAGGGGGATGGATTGCTTGAGCCCAAGAGTTCAAGATCAGCCTAGGCAACATAGTGAGACCCCGCCTCTACAAAAAACAAAAAATTAGCCAGGCATGGTGGTGCACGCTTGAAGTCCCAGCTACTGGGGAGGCTGAGGTGGGAGGATTGTTTGAGCCCAGGAGGTCAAGGCTGAAGTGAGCCATGATTGTTCCACTGCACTGCAGCTTGGATGACAGAGCAAGACCCTGACTCAAAAAAGAAAAGAAAAGAGACCAGAAATTATAGTTAACAGTGAAAAGTAAGGAAGGAAGGAACATAGAAAAGCAAATATGACAAGGAGAGAGGGGTAATTGGAAGAAAAACACAAAGAATGGTACAGATAAAAATTAAAAGATAGACTGTATTCCATATACTACTCAGATCCTGTGTGGAAGGAGCCATGATATCTATGATAATTTACTGACTCCACTCATGGCTTTATTAGGCATCTGAGATGCTTTCAGAATCCAAGAGATGGCCAGGTGCAGTGGCTTACACCTGTAATCCCAGCACTTTCAGAGGCCAACTAGGGCAAACAGCTTGAGCCCAGGAGTTCAAGACTAGCCTGGGCAATATAGAGAGACTCCATCTCTACAAAAAATACCAAAAAAAATCCGAGTGTGGTGGCTTGCATCTGTAGTCCCAGTTACTCGGGAGGCTGAAGTGGGAGGATCTCTTGAACCTGGGAGGTGGAGGTTGCAGTGAGCTGAAATCATGCCACTGCATTTGCACTTCAGCTTGAGCGACAGAGCAAGACATTATCTCAAAAAATAAAAAATAAAAAAAATAAATAATCCCAGTTTTGTAGGCAACATGCAAAGCATTGTGGGCAGGGGCCAGCAGAGCGCATGCCTCTTTCTCTCCATCAGGCCTGCTCAGGGTGTAACCTTGGCCACATCAGTGTCAGAGAGCCTCTTCACAGCCTCTTTGGTGCTTGCCGGCCCTGGCATCCACAGTGAACACCAGTGTGTGGTTGTCTTCTATCTTCATAGCACATCAGTAGTCAGGGCTTGATGATGGCAGAGTGGTCAAACATGTGGGAGCACTCTTCCCGGGATACTCGGGCTGCCTCTGGAGCCACAGTGTCTTGAGCTGCTGGAGGTAAGTGACATGCAGGTCTTAGGGGTGTGTGTGTGTGTGTGTGTGTGTGTGTTTGTGTGTGTGTGGTTGTGGATGCCTTTCAGCCCTGCCTTCTTGGCCTTTAAAGACTTTGCTTTGGCTTTGACTTTAGGAGGGACAGGAGCTTCCTTCTTCGCCTTCGGTGCCACCTTGTGAAAAAAAAAAAGCTAAACCCAATGTTTTTTAAAATTGCCTTAAGCAACTAAGCTAAGGAAAAGGAAATGATTCAGCGGTCAGCAAGCAAGTGAACAAAATGAACAAAGGTGTTTGTGTTGGACTCCATAATAAGTGAAGTTTTTCCTACTTGCCCTACTCTTTAGAAAATCGCATTTCAAAATCATGCTTATGAAACCTTTCATTGCAGGGGACAAAGCATGTAACTTGATGATCTTCGACACTCGAAAAACAGCTAGACAACCCAACTGCTACCTATTTTTCTGTCCCAACGAGGAAGCCTGTCCATTGAAACCAGCAAAAGGACTTATGAGTTACAGGATAATTACAGGTAATGAAAGCATTATACTTTTTCTTTTGTGATTGGAATAATTTAAGACTGGTTCATGTGAAAGATTTTCTACAAGAGTCTAAATAAAACTACCAGAAGGGGTACCAGACATATCAGAAAATCTCATGACTGGAAATTCAATTTATTAAACCAAAATTTGATTTCCAATGAAAGCCATGGTAGTATTTGTTCTGGTTTGTTTCTGTTTTTACCTTCATGAGATAAAAGACACACAAACCTTGTATGAAACGTTTTTGAAGCACCTCTTTAGAACAAGGTCGGCAACACTGGAATAAGTATACAGGTCTCCAGGGTGATTGTTTTGAAAGGGTGAAGACTTGTGTTAATATAGAAAGTTCTAGTATATTTGTTATTAAGTTCCCATTATAATCACATTATCTGAAATCAAACTTTTTATGGCCATACCACCCTGAACGCACCCAATCTCGTCTGAAATCAAACTCACTGGATTTTATTGTCTAGACTGGAAAGGAAATTCATTCAAGAAATATTTATTAAACATTTACCATGTGCCAGATTCTGTCCAAAGCACTAGAACTACAATCTCCATGTTCATGGAACTTACATATTAATTCAGAATGGAAAATAAATAGCAAAAAAATTAATATAATTCCTGGGATATGTTTTGCTGAGACTTTGGCTTGTTAATTTTTCAAGTTGAAGTGGTTTCAGTATCAATTTTTCTTTTTTTTGAGATTATCCATATAAAAAAGGTGAAAACAAATTAATGTTGCTTAGGTAATTCTGTGGACCCTTCATAGACAGTATTTGCATAAAATCAGAATTACAGAATTTAGTGGGGTTTGTTGTTGTTGTTGCTTGTTTGTTTGCTTTTTCCGAGATGGAGTCTCACTCTGTTGCCCAGGATGGAGTGCAGTGGTGCGATCTCGGCTCACTGCAAGCTCCGCCTCCCGGGTTCAGGCCATTCTCCCGCCTCAGCCTCCTGAGTAACTGGGACTACAGGTGCCCGCCACCACGCCCGGCTAATTTTGTTTTTGTACTTTTAGTAGAGATGGGGTTTCACCGTGTTAGCCAGGATGGTCTCAATCTCCTGACCTCGTGATCCGCCTGCCTTGGCCTCCCAAAGTGCTGGGATTACAGGCATGAGTGTTGTTGTTTTTTGAGAGAGAGTCTCACTCTGTCGCCCAGGCTGGAGTGCAGTGGTGCGATCTCAGCTCACTGCAACCACCACCTCCTGGCTTCAAGCAATTCTCATGCCTCAGCCTCCCAAGTAGCTGGGGTTACAGGCACCCACTACCATGCCCAGCTATTTTTTTTTTTTTGTATTTTTAGTAGAGATGGGGTTTCACCATGTGGGCCAGGCTGGTCTCACCTCCTGACCTCAGGTGATCCACCCTCCTTAGCCTCCCAAAGTGCTGGGATTACAGGCGTGAGCCACTACACCCAGCTTCAATTTTTCTTTTATTTAAGTTTTAGAAAGTTATCATCATACTCTTGATTTTTAATATTCTACTTGTTCATTTGTTCAATAAATAACAAATATTATTTAGCATCTCCTATGTGCCAAGTACTTTCTATGCCCTAAGGAAACAACACTAAACATGAAAAACAAGGTTCTGGCCATGTGGTAGCTCATGCCTATAATTCCAGCACTCTGGGAGGTGGGAGGATCACTTGAGCCCAGAAGTTAGAGACCAGCCTGGGCAACATGATGAGACCTCATATCCACAAAAAATTAAAAAAATTAGCCGGGCATGGTGGCATGAGCTTGTAGTCCCAGCTACTTGGGAGGCCAAGGCAGGAGAATTCCTTGAGACCAGGAGGTCAAAGCTGCAGTGAGCTGTGTTCATGCCACTACACTCTAGCCTGGGTGACAAAGTGAGATACTATCTCTAAAAAAAAAATAGGAAAACAAGGTTCTCCCTTCTGGAACTTATGTTTTAGGGGAGAGAGACAATAACCATAATAAATAAATAATCAAGAAAAATATAGTCACAAGTGCTATGCACAGAATTGAGACAGGACGGTATAATAGACAATCAGTAAGTAAAGTTGTAACCCCTAAACTGAGATCTGAATAGTGAGGAGCCAGATGTGAGGAGATCAGGGGAAGACCTTCCAAGTCCAAGGTCCTCAGGCAGAATGCTTTGGAGTGTTTGAAAAACCAACACTCCAATCCCAGCTGGTTGACTCATTGTGAAATACGCAGAGAGTGATATGCAAAACGGTGGGGAGGGCCAGATCACATAACACCTTGTAAGTCATAGGAGGGAGTTTTTTTGTTTGTTGTTGTTGTTTTTGAGACAGAGTCTCACTCTGTTGCCCAGGGTGGAGTGCAGTGGCGCGATCTCAGCTCACTGCAACCTCCGCCTTAGGAGGGGCATATGCCACTACACGTGGCTAATTTTTGTATTTTTAGTAGAGATAGGGTTTCACCACATTGGCCAGGCTGGTCTCGAACTCCTGATGTCGGGTAATCCACCCACCTCGGCCTCTCAAAGTGCTGGGATTACAGGCATGAGCCTCCGTGCCCGGCCGGGAGTTTTTAGGTGTGTGGTGGGAAGCTGTTGGGAGTTTTATTTTTATTTTTTTTTTGAGATGGAGTCTCACTCTTTTCACCCAGGCTGGAGTTCAGTGATGCAGTGTCGGTTCAGTGCCACCTCTGCCTCCCAAGTTCAAGTGATTCTCCTGCCTCAGCCTCCTGAGTAGCTGGGACTACAGGCAAGCATCACCATGCCTGGCTAATTTTTGTATTTTTAGTAGACATGGTCTCGCCATGTTGGCCAGGCTGGTCTCAAATTCCTGACCTCCTGACTCATGTATGTAATCCCAGCACTTTGGGAGGCTGAGGCGGGCAGATCACAACGTCAGGAATTCGAGACCAGCCTGGCCAACATGGTGAAACCCCGTCTCTACTAAAAATACAAAAATTAGCCGGGTGTGCTGGTGCGTGCCTGTAATCCCAGCTACTCAGGAGGCTGAGGCGGGAGAATTGCTTGAACCCAGGAGGCAGAGGTTGCAGTGAGCTGAGATTGCGCCACTGCACTCTAGCCTGCACGACAGAGCAAGACTCTGTCTCGGGGAGAAGAAAAAAAAAAGGTGATTTCTCAAAGCTCACCGTAGCCGCCCTCTTGGGAATGGACAGTGACACAGCAGCAAAGTGGAAATGGAAAGACTGGTTAGGAGGCGCAGGTGAGATCTGGGTGAAGAAACAGGGAGTGGCGGGCGAGATGGAGAGAGTAGTGGACATATGGGCTATTCCGAAGTAGAGTTGACAGGACTTGCTGGTGGTGTGGGTCTGGGGAACCAGAAAAAAAGAACCATCAAGGCCAAGTCCTAGTTTTTGCCTTGAGCATCCAGATGAATGGTGACACCATTTGCTGCACTGGGGGAAACTTGAGTAGTTTTAGGGTTGTGGAATGGAATCTAGGTGGAGTGGAATCTAGGGTTCTCTCTTGACTGCATTAAGTATGAGGGGCTTCGGGGAATGATACTGCCCAGGGTGCCTGCGTGTTGACACTGCTTTGCCCCCTAGCTGAGGCTGTGTCTGAGTTTTGTTCATGTGCCAGGGAAGCCTGATGGGTCAAACATCCTCTCAAACAGGAGCGTGAAGCACAGAGTATTGTGTAAATAATTGTTGTTAGGATACGATGATAGAAATTACAGCTGAATTTGTTTTCTAATACTTCTGGAGTGTTGTTACTTTTGTAATGCACATATAAAAGAGCATGTATGGGATGAAGTTCCTTGCCAATGGGAACGGAAAAAAGGGAACTTGGCATGTGCATAAATCTTTTTAGGGCGAGTGTGAAGGTAATGAAGTGAAATTAGAATTAAACTGTTCTTGTGGCAGCCACCAGGGGGCGTTGCCGGCCCCTGAGCAGGTTGATGGACACCTAGGGGCAACGTGGCACCAACCCCGGACATAGTATGCAAAGGACTGTTTATATCTACAGGATGTGTGCAAGTTGTGTTTGTAATTCTGTGTATGAATCTGTCCATGTTGATGAATTCATATTACCCCATTAAAAATGAATTATCTGCCTCCTGCCTGGAGTGAAATTAAATACAGATTATCTGTTTGGTGGTTTGTTTCTGGAAGAACTCTATTTCTTTTTCTTTTCTGTCTCTCTCTCTCTTTTTTTTTTTCTTTTTTTTTAAGGCAGCATCTCACTCTGTTGCCCAGGCTGCAGTGCAGTGGCGCGATCATGGCTCACTGCAGCGGCGCGATCATGGCTCACTGCAGCCTCCACCTCCTGAGCTCAAGCAGTCCTCTCCATTCAGCCTCCCAAGTATTTGGGACTACAGATAATGCACCACCATGCCAGGCTAATTTTTTAAAATGTTTTGTAGCAATGGGGGGGTCTCAGTATGTTGCCCAGGCTGGTCTCAAACTCCTGGCCTCAAGCAATCATCCTGCCTCGGCCTCTCAAAGTGCTGGGATTACAGGCATGAGCCACCGTGCCCAGCCTCTATTTCCTATATCCCATTGACTAATATTTACGGACCAAGAGTTTGAAAGATGACAGTGGATTCTGTTCATTCTCTAAAGCCATTGCAGTTTGGTATTTAATCTTTTATTGTTGTTGTTGGCAGCTTCATGGCATGTCATTTTTACCAAGGACTGGAAGAATAGGAGAATTCAGACATAGAATAAATTGGGAGTCTGTTTGCTCAGCTGGGGTCCCAGTAATAGTCAGTCTCTCATTTTTCAACTCAGTGAAGTCGTTTGAAAATAAAACTCCAAAGAGGAGTTAAGGGCGCTGAGCTGCTTTGCAGCTCCCTTTGTGGCTCATCTCTGCGTGACTGAGAGGAAGCACCATGCCCCAATGGCAAACATGAGTGGGTGAGGCGAATGGAGCAGGTGTGGAGGATCCCTTTGTGGTTCTAGGACCTCTGCCAACAGAGGAATCTTATCAAGAAGTGGGACTGGCCCTAGCTTTGCTTTATTTATGAGCTTGCATGCTTGAGAAAGAAAACAGCTGTTTTGGCCATTCTTGTCAATGGCCATATTTAAGTTCTGATTTCACACACATCACAGAGTGTTTACTTAAACAGTCTTTTTCTTTTTTAACTTTAAAATGAATTATAGGCCAAGTATGATGGCTCACACCTGTAATTCCAGCACTTTGGGAGGCTGAGGTGGGCGGATTGCTTGATTCCAGGAGTTCAAGACCAGCCTGGGCAACATGGCAAAATTCTGTCTCTACAAAAAATACAAAAATTAGCTGGGCATGGTGGCATGGCATTGTGGCCCCAGCTGCTCAAGAGGCTGAGGTGGGAGGATTGCTTGAACCCAGGAGGTTGAGGCTGCAGTGAGCTGTGTTTGTGCCACTGCACTCCAGCCTGGGTGACAGAGCAAGACCCTGTCTCAAAAATATATATATATATATTTTCAAATATATTTCATTTGACCCAAATTCTACTTTAGAGTAGAATACTATATCCTAGAGCAGATGTCCACCAACTTTTTCTGCCAAGGGCCAAATAGTATTTTAGGCTTTTCACACCAGTACTTTAGGTTTTGAAATACAGAAATTTGAATTTTGTATACCTTTCCTGTGTCACACAATTTTCTTTTGATTATTTTTCAGCCATTAAAAGAAATATAAAAACTGGCCAGGCATGGTGGCTCACCTCTATAATCCCAGCACTTTGGGAGACCGAAGGGGGTGGATCACCTGAGGTCAGGAGTTTGAAACCAGCTTGGCCAACATGGTGAAACCTCACCTCTACTAAAAATAGAACAATCACCCAGGTGTGGTGGCACGCGCCTGTAATCCCAGCTACTCAGGAGGCAGAGGTAGGAGAATCGCCTGAATCTGGAAGGCAGAGGTTGCAGTGAGTCGAGATCATACCACTGCACTCCAGCCTGGGCGACAGAGTGAGACTCTGTCTCAAAACAAATAAAAATTTTAAAAAACGTAAAAACCATTCTTAGCTTGCAAGTCATACAAAGACAGATGGCAGGCCAGATTTGTCCATCAGGCCGTAGTTTGCTGAGCCCTGTCCTAGATGGACGAATAAGTGACAGAGTGACAGTGCAAAGAACCTCTCAGAGGGGTAAGGCTTAGAGAGTAGTCACGAGATGGCATGAATCCGTAGCTGCCTCTGGATCCGTCTGTAGGAAAGAGGAGACTGAGGACCAGTTTGGAAACTGGCATGGAGGTGAATTGAGGAAGAAAAAGGAAAAGAGAGCAGGAGTGAGTGGACTGAGAAATGCCAGGACATTCCTCTGCTTCTTTCCTTGTGTTTTCTGCAGTTCTAATGTGAGATGGTTAGCCTAGCAGCAGAGTGATACATGGCAATTCACCTGGTCATTCCCTGCACTTGATTGCTTGAACAGGTCTTTCCAGTTTGAGCTGTGATAAATGGGGTGTGTGATCAGGAGAAAAATTCTAAGCTTCATGGAGCAGGAGCAGGATCTGGGGCTGGTTTCTCCTCAGCAGGCATCGGGACTGTATGGTTTTTCTGCCCTCTGTGTCTACAGTGTGGTCATCATGATTTCAAATATTGGTCCCATCATCCTCATGACCTATGACATTGGCTCCAAAATTCTAATCTTTGAGAGTCCAAATGAAATCTCCCAGATAGCCTCCCTCCTCTGCGCACAGTGCTGGAACGATATATCTCTGGTTTTTTGTTGTCGTTGTTGCTGTTCTGCTGCTGCTGTGGCCTCAGTGCTCAGAGCGGAGACCAGACCCTGCCTGGCCCCTCCTCCTCCTCCCTGTCAGAGACACACCACAGGGATTCTGCTCCCTCTCTCCTGCTCTATTGCCTCATTTCCCACAGCTTCCACATACCTTTCTTGCCTGCCTCATGCCCCCACTGAAATCTCTCCTGATGATTACTTGCTCCCCATTTGTCATCTCAGTCTTAGGTGGCATGTCTTGCAGAAGCCCACACCTTCCCCCGCATTCTCCCTGCCAACCTTTCCTGCTCAGGTCACCCTCCGGCCCACTTTTTTCCCTGGCCTTGGCCCCTTAGGAAGACGGAGAACCCTTTCCATCTTTGTAAGCCTCTTGCTGCCCTGCTGAGCCCCTCCGGCTTCTCTGCTGTGCACCTCCCACCTTTTCCTTAATTTGCCTGGTCCTCCTCCACACATTTCTCTTCTCTTCTGTCCTATCATGCTAGAAATAAACCACAGCATCTGGTAGAGAGGCGGCGTTATCAGATTCTCATTTAGCAATTTGTGTTTTTCCATTTTGCACACATTTCAATGAAATGTCAAGTATCAACAGTTTGGAGATTTTTTTGTTTAAGAGACAGGATCTCCCTATGTTGTCCAGGCTGGTCTCCAACTCCTGGCCTCAAACCATCCTCCTGCCTTAGCCTCCCAAAGTGCTGGGATTATAGGCGTGAGCCACCATGGCCAACCAGTTTAGGGATCTTTTGAACAAGCTGATATGTTTGTATTTTTTTAACCTACCGTAGC